>NC_000007.14:150973531-151125046 GCF_000001405.40 Homo sapiens | reverse complement strand
ACATACACACGCACTCCGCGAACGAACAGGGAAGCCTCTGGCTGCTGTCACTGTGCTCTTGGCTTTCCAGGGGGCCCTCCAGTAGTCTGGCCCAACTGGGGTGGTCACTGCCAGACATAAATGCAACGAACATTTCAAGAGAGGGGTGAGTGGAAACAATACGGATCACGGCATGGGACCCTGTGGGACCCTGCCCTCTGGGACACTACTCTGCTTGGAACTCTTCATTCTAAATGGACTTTGGCTGGGGGTCAGAAACCCCTAGCCTTAACGAATGAATCCTGGTCACACCGACTGGCCCCTCCCCACAAGCAGTCACACTGCCCATGAGTCCCAGCCCAGGAGAGCCACACCTGACCACAGGCCTTGCCACGCCAGGCTCAGGGGCTCTGGCCACGTGAGCCTCCTCTGTGGTCAAAACCTGGCAGTACGGCTGCCTATGTACATGGCCTCTCCAACCACCAGATCCCAAAAAATTCTGTGCCAAGTGCCCCCGTTCTTATGGGCACCCCAGCTCCTCAGGCTCTTGCCCACACACCAAAGACATGCCTCCCCATCCACCCCAGCTGCTCTGGCTCAACACATCAAAGAGACGCCCTCCGTGGGGCAATGCCGTGTCCACTGCAGGAATCCAAGACCGGAGGTGTGGAAGAAGGCAGGCCCAGGGCCCCCAGGACTGACTAGAAAGGAGGTGGGAGAGGTGAGGAGGTAGTCTACTTTTTTCTTTAAAGACGAACAGAGGCCCTTATTAACAAAACCATGCCAACAGACCTAGCGCTGGACTAGCCCTCAGTATCCCCTTCCACGCAGGCTTCTCGGGTTGCTCATTTTCCTTAGAGAGCCACTCAACCCTCTCCAGACCCAACTCCAGAACCAGCGGGACAGGCTGAGCGCCTGGCTGAACACGGCAGGTAGCTCTCTGCTGCCCTCCGGTGGTGATCAGAAGGTACAGGCAGAGCTCGTGGCCTGAAGGTGGCGGCGCAGAGAAGGTGGCTTCTCACTGGAGAGCCAGTCCCTTGTTAAGGACTCCGCCTAGGAGGGTGGTGCTGGCCTCTGATGCCATCTCCCCCATCACAGAGGCCTGAGAAGAGGCCCTGGGAAGCGCCACATTCCTGGGCCTCATTCTGAGCCCTGGAGCACACGGGAAGGGAGGCGCTGACCTGCTTGATGGGGATGGCGCGGCCGCTCCCGATGCTGTCCACCTTGCACTCGGCAGCCTTCTTCTCCCGGTCCAGGTCAGCACCCTTCCGAGACTGGAAGAGAAAACAAGAGGCGTGTTAAAGAGGCCCAGGGTCTGCCGAGAGCTGCCCACCTGGACTTCCCGGCCTCCCTCCTGCCTCCCTCCTCCTGGGCAGCCCTAGCAGTGGGTCGGGCCGGGGCGGCGGGACGGGAAGGAACTGAGACCACGAGTATTCCAACGGGTTTATTCTTACACACGGCACCATACAGAGCAGCACAGGTCACTGAGCCGGGCCCGCCCCTTACAAAAGAGCAAGGACAGAGAGGCCGAGGGCGCGAGGAGCACGCCCGGGGCGGGGGCGTAAGAGAAGCGGGGGCGAGGAGGTGGACGGTGGGGCTGCTGGTCGGGAGCACAGGGCGCGACAACCGGGAGCGCAAAGTCCACAAGTGAGCGGGCAGATGGCCCGTCTGCGGCACAGACACCACACGGCACGTGGCACCGAGCGCGTCGGCGTGGCCCAAGGGGCACAGTGGATGGACAGAGAGAGGAGAGAGGCCAGAAGAGGCCCTGCACCCTGTCAAGCTCCTGGGGCAGAGTCCACCCGAATGCGGATCCTAGGAAATAGGGGGAGGCCAAAAAGAGGGGGCAAGGCAAGCGCGGCGGCGGCGGCGGCTTCCGGAGCAGGAGCAGGAACGGCAGAGGTCCATGCAGGAAGGAGCAGAGGAGGGGAGGGGCAGGAAAGCGCCCCCCAGGAGCAGCCGGGCCGGGCGGGCTTGGACTCCCCCGCCCCTCTGGGCCTCGTCGCGCTGGCCAGCGCCGGGCGTGGGGCCGAGCTGCCTTCTTCTCCATGCAGCGAGCCTGCAGCGTCCGGCCGGGCCTGGTCCCCGGCAGCCCCCAGCGCGGGCTCCGGCGCTCCTAGCCTTCCCTGGGGGTGGGGTTAGTTACAAAGGTTCCCGTGGGTCTCTGGAGTGGGGAGCTCGGCGGCCGCTTCTCATCTGAGAGCAGTCCCAGGGCCCGGCCCGCCTCCGGCCCCGCACAGGGGGCATGTCCAGAGGTGCTGTGTGTCACCAACTGGTCTTCTAATTTGGAAGGAGTTGGAAAGGCCTTTTTGTTGATGAAAAGTTGGAAACAGTGGCACATATCTGCAAATATCGAAAGAATAAAGATTTTGGCAAGTTATACTCAAGCCCCGCACAAGTCGGTCAGCACCGGTGAGGGCAGAGACCCAGGCGCCTGGGGAGCGGCGGCAGCGGGATGAAGAGGAGGAGGAGGAGGAGGAGAAGGACGAGGAAGAGGAGAAGGACAAGGAGGAGGAGGAGAAGGAGGAGGACCAGGAGGAGGAGGAGGCGGCGGCGGCGGCGGGCGGCAGCGGCACCTGCTGGGCAGACACAGGCCAAGCGTCCACCTCAGCACGGAATGGTATGTTCGCCACTCGGCAGCCCAGGCCCCATCCCTCCCGTTCTCCCAGGCTGCCAGGAGCCAAGGGCACAGCGAGGGGACACAGGGCCACAACTGCAGCGTGGGAGAAAGCAAGGCCAGAGGGAACAAGGAGAACCGGGCAAAAGAGCCGCCGGAGAGCAAAGTGCCACCCAGCAGCTCCACAGGCGGCACCGCCCCATCCCCTCCTGGGCTCCACGGCCCAGACCGCCACAGCCCTCTGCCCCTTTGGCCCAGGGAGGAGGAAGGTGGATGGGACTGCTGCCACCGGGTCCCCAGACAGAAGAGCCGGTTTGGGGGGAGTGGGGTGCAGCCCACCCCAGCCAGATTGTGAGCCAAGAGGCCCCGACCACCAGAGGACCCCTGGGAGCCCAGAGGGGCACCTCCCCATGCGGACAGGAACTGGGGCAAGAGCAGCAACGAAATGAGCACATGAAGTCACAGGAGAGACTGGGGACAGCACAACCATGTCCAGTAGGGGGTCACTAGCCACAGAGCAGGCAGGACACAGGGGCTCGCCCTCGAGCAAGCATGTCGCTGCTGGGGAGGACGATGAGGGAGAAGAGGGGAGGCCCCAACAGCAATGATGAGAGGGGAGGTCCCGAGATACACCCACAGAGACGGACGCGTCTTGAGGCCGTCTCAGGGACAATGGTGCAAGTGAGGTCACCACAGAAACAATGGAAGGAAAATATAAGGTCGCCGCTGTGAGGATGGAGAGAATGGAAGCGCCAGAGGGAAGGCCGTGCCGTGAGCAGCCAGGAGGGAGGGCAGCAGAGTCGAGGCAGGCAGCAGAGAGCACAGGATGGCAGGAAGCACGGGGCGCAAGGGAGGAGGCCGGGGACTGGGCGTGGGCGGAGGAGAGGGTAGCAGGGCAGGGAAAGGCAGGGGGTGCCCTGGGGTTGCTACAGAGCTTGCCAACGAGGGGAAGGGGAGATTAAGAATGGAACTGAGGCAGCGGATGACTGAGGCACGATGCCAGGGAGCAGGGTGCCCAGGCCCTGGCAGTAGGCACCGTGGACAGAGGCACCTAAGGGTCCCGCAGCAGCAGCAGCAGCAGGTGTGGGCTCGAGCAGGCGGCCCCCCCCACGCTCTAATGTCTCAATGGCCATGGATAGAAAGGAGAAGCTGCACATTTAGGCAGGGTCAGGGCCGGGCAGCTGCAATGTGTGGCGGACCGTCAGCACAGAGTCTCTGTTAGCATGGATGGCCGCGAGGGCAGGTGGCGGGCTCGGGACAGAGGCAGGCAGCCGGGAGGGAGAAGTGAGCTGGGCAGGCAGAGGCGAGGATGAGTGAGCAGGGCTTGGAAGTGCCAGCTCTGTCCGGGCAGGGTCCGGAGATCTGGCCTGGCTGGCCGCACTCGGGCCCAGGCTGAGAGCCAAGCCCTGCTCTCGGAAAGAGGCGCATGGAGTGACGCGGAGGGGCGGGCGCTCTCGTGACAACCCACACGGGGGTTCACCCACCTTTGTCTGGCCCAAGACTCCTGGAACATCCAGCCAAGCCCGGCTGGAGGATTAGGGTTTGGATGGGCACTGTGTGTCGCACATTGGGAGTGGAGAGACAGCAGGCCCTGGGGCCTGAGAGCCAGAGGCCACCCTCAGCCGGGCCAGCACAACAGCCCCCAGGTGTGGGGTGTGAGGTTTGTGAGGGGTGAGTGAGGAGCTCACAAGGAGACAGGACAAACCTGAGAGGGAGGAACGAGGCAGCGTGGTGAAGCCCAGGAAAAGATGGCTAAGCCTTTGTTAAACCAATCACAGCGGTGGGTGGAAAGCATGAATTTTCCCCTCGGCAGTGGGGTAACGGAAAAAGAGCCGGAAGGCGACGGGGAGGCCTGGGCTCTGACTCTAGCTGGGCCAGCTAACCCTCTGTGTCGCCTTGGGCAAACAGCCTTCCGGCCGCCGGTTCATTAGCTGTTGAATCAAAGGGGGTCAGGGGAGTTAGGCCAAGTGAGTCCAAGGATACTTTCAAGCTCACAGACACCCTAAAGGGGCCTAGGAGAGAGGAAGGCGGCGGGGAGGGTGAGTGTGTGCGGCAGAGGGCAGGGAGGACTGTGGGGACAGGGTAAGGGCCGCTACTGGAAACCCCTTGTGGGTGCAGAGAACAGTCTGGAAGACTCTGAGGGCACCGGCAAGGACCCTCGGGAGCCGTGTGTATCTGAGGGAGAGACTGCAGGTACCGTCTTCCTGACTTGGGGCTGCCCACGCCCCTCCTGGCTGGGAGCTCGGCGCTCAGCCCTGCCTGTGCAGCAAAGGCAGCTGGGCGGGGGAGGAGGGCAGTCACGTACCGTGAAGATGTTGGAGCGCCGCTTGGACTGCTTTCGGATGGGTGTGGGGGTGGAGGAGGCAGCGATGGTCTCGATGCGCAGCTCCCGCTGGCTGATGCTGGGGGTGGAGGGGACTGAGGACGAGTAGTCGCTGAAGGCGCTGCCGCCGCCATTCGTGGCCTAAGGACAAAGAGGGCTGCTGAGGGCAGCTCCGGGTCAGGGGCGGGACGGGCACCAGGCGGGTGCCGGGAATCCCTGTGCTAATGGGGGCCTGGCCGGGGCTCATGGGCAGCAGAGGGGCCACTAGCCCCTACAGATGATATGGGGGGAACATTCACCTGGCCTGGAGGCCAGCAGGATCTACTGTCACCTTGCCAGGGCTGCCCCACTAGGGCAGCAAACCCTCGTCCTGGGGCCCCGGCAGGAGTGCTTCTGGCCAACCAGGGAGCTAAGTCAGAGGCACAGGCTGGTAGGTGGGAATCAGCTGCAGGGCCTGGCAGTGAACAGACTGGAGTCCTGACCTGCAGGTGGTCTGGAAGGAGGTAGAGGGTCACCCCGGACAAACTCTCACATTCAGGTATGTATGTTTAGAGTGCAGGAGGCCAGGAGGCGGGAGCCGGAGGTGGCCCAGGGCACTGCAGCATGTTTCTAGCATGCCCATGGCAGGGAAAGGGATTCCGGGACAGCTGGGGCAGAGAGAACAGAGCTATGACTCCCAATCAGAGTAAGGTGTGGATGTGGAACAGAGAAGGGAAAGAAAGAGAAAAAGACAGAGATCACAGAATGGAGAAGAAACAGTAGGGCAGCTCCTCCAGGACTCGGGAAGCATGCACGGCACAACCAGGTGGTCTGCACCGCAACTGCCCTCACTAGAGCGTGTGGCCTACCCGGCTGCCTCCCTTGAACCCTAACCTGTACAAGAGGTGCTTGGACCACTGCCCCTCCACAACCTGCCCCTCGGGACAGGGACCACTGCAGAAGTGAGCTGCGCAAGCCCCACTCCGTCGGTGTCGGGCGGGGCTGCTCAGAGACAGTAAGAAGGACACAGCCCTCCTCCTCCTTTTTCCCACATGGGAACGCTGCCGCCTTCTCACAGCCCTGAAGGGAAGGGTCTCTGAAATGCAACCAGGCTGTCACTGGAATACCAGCTGCAGCCAGGGCAGGCCTTGGAGAGATGACGGTCATTGGCAGAGGTAAAGTGCAGTGGCTGCTGCCTTGACCATGCCACCTGTGGATGGCCCAGGACTTTCAGCAGAGGGCATCGGGGTAGGGAATGCAGGCTGTGGAATGGTGGAGAGCAGAGAGAAGTGGGGATTGCAGCGGGAAGGGGCAGGCACCGTGGGGCAGGGATGAGGCCAAGGCTACGGTGCCGGCTAAATGGAATTCCAACCAATGTTTCCAAGCAACATGCAAGGCTGGGAGGCCAGAGGAAGGTGGACAGGTGTGAGCAGGAGGCCAGCA
This sequence comes from Homo sapiens, assembly GCF_000001405.40. Classification (NCBI taxonomy): domain Eukaryota; kingdom Metazoa; phylum Chordata; class Mammalia; order Primates; family Hominidae; genus Homo; species Homo sapiens. The sequence continues at coordinate 151,118,705 of NC_000007.14, read as the reverse complement.
GAAGTGGCAGGACGCACAGAGGCAAGACAGACATGGTGGGGACAGGAAGGGCAGGGCGGGGCACAGGCCGAACCTGGTTGATGTGCACGGCCGGGATGGAGGCGGCGGACACGGCCGAGTGGCTGGGCGAGTTGGGCAGTGACTTGCAGGGCCCGATGGCCAGTTGCTGCTTCTTTCGCAAGGCCACTACCTTCTGGGCCACTGCAGGGGACAGCAGAGTCAATTATACCCACTGGAGAGAAGGGAAAAGCCTGGCTTAGCACCTCCCCCCAGACACACAGCCTTGCTCTCACTGGGAGCCTTCCTATCGCCAGCACTGGGGCCGCGGCTGCCAGTGACTCCCACCCGGCACCCGAGTTACCGTCCTGGAAGACACGCTCCACATTGAGCCCGTAGGTCGCGCACGTCTCATAGTAGGTGCACCGCTTCAGATCTGTGGAGAGCTTGCGGGCTCTGCTGTCGTCGATAACCCGGGGATTCGCAGCGCTGATGGCATCTGTTGGAGGTGGGAGGGCGGGAGTCATTCAGCTTTCGGAGAAGCTGGGGTAGTGTGGTGGGGGGCATTTGGCCCAAGGGCAGGTGTGCAAAGGGCCTGGTGAGTGGAACACACAGAGCACCAAGAACGCGGGTGCCTGGGTCTCATTTCAACCCTTCCATGGCCTCACTGAGTGCAAACCAGCAAGCACTTAAGCTCTGAGCACGTTTATTCATCTAAAAAAACACAGACCTGCTAGTCACAGGGACAGCAGGTTTCAGTGGGGGCAAAAGCCCTCAGACACGAGCAGCACGGAGAGTGCTGAGGGTCCCAGTCAGCACTGGGAAAAGAGTAGGGGCTTGGGGGCTTTCTCACACCTGCCCACCCCTGCCCCCATGCATCGTTGCCCGGGACTTCCTGCTCTCTGCCAGCTCCTGCAGGGCCCCGCCTCACCCTGCGTGCCCACAAGCACCATGGGCACCTCGCTGGCGTTGCGGAAGCTGCAGAGACGCAGGAAGTAGTTGTACACCGTCTGGAAACTGATTTCATCCTCCAGGCTGAACACAAACACCACTGCATCCACCCAGGCAGCAAACTAGGGTAGAGCAAGTAAAATTAGCACCCGCAACTGGACCTGGCAAACTCCCATGCAGGGCAGGTGAACTCAAGTAGACCCTTCTCCCTGGACATACCACCTCTCCCAGTCCCAACCAGCAAGCTCGAGAAAGGGCTCCAGGCACAGCGGTGGGCCCTAACCCTGGGCAGGAGCATCACCTGGAGCTCAGGGGGGCCTCCTTCATCTCGGATCAGCAGCAGGTAACTCTGGCCATCCACCACAATCTCCTTCTTAAACCGCCCCCCTAGGACAGAGCGCGCAGTCAGGTCCAAAGTGTGGAGAAAGAATCCAGGGGCCAAGAAGAAATCTACAGCTTCCCATGCGGGAGGGAAGAGGACTGGAAGGGGGCTGGAGACCCCCCACCCAGACCCTGTGGGCAGGAGCTGGAGGAGTGGCCGGCCTCAGGGCCCAGGCTGGGCCTGTGACGCTCACCTTCAGGGGACTCCTCCTGGACATAGGTCCCCGTCAGATAGCGGTGCACCAGGGCTGACTTCCCGCTAGACAGGTTCCCCACTATGCCCTGCGGGAGAGGAAGGGGTGAGTGGGTCAGAGGGCAGAGGGCACGAGGGAGAAGACCCAGCAGGAAAAGCAAAGAAGCAGCAGGAGGGAGAAAGGCCAGGGCTGAAGGGGAGGAGAGAGGGCAGAGAGGGCCAAGCTGAGCAGAGAAGGGGACAGAAGCCGGAGAAGCAAGGCCCAGGCCCGCGGCACCCAGCCTCGCCCCCCCAGCTCCAGGCCGCCGGTGCTGCCCATGGGCCACACTCACCACTTTAAGCTCCGGTACGGAGCGGCTCAGCGTCCACTCCTGGCTGTTCACAAACGAGTCTGCGGAAGACAGAGCCGCCCCGTCAGGGCCAGGGTGGCACACACACCTGTCCCAACCACTGCTGCCTGTGTCACCTATGATGCCCTCCCCAAGCCCAGGCCAGAGGACAGCAGCTTCCTCCACGGGACCCCCAACCCTCACCCCTAGTTCCCCAGGAGGCAGTGGGAAGGTTCTTCTTGAGTGAAGCAGAGTAAGGATGGTCTTCAGAACAGGACTCTGAGGGCTGTGGGCTCAGTCCCCCTGGTTTCGGCCCTGTGTCCTTCCTCCTCTTCCTGCTCCAGCAGGTTTATTGTCCCCCCACCAAGCCACACCTGGCCTAGTGCCCCTGTGGCCCAAATACCAGGCCCAGGTTAGAGGCCACTCCAGCAGGTCTCAGAACAGACCCAAGGGCTGGGCACCTGGTTGGGGGGCAGACTCCTGCAAGTAAGAACAGCGCACCCTGGCAGGGTGGGGCCACCCACCACATTCCTGAGCCGGGTGAAGAGGGAGGAGCCTGGCCTGGCCTGGCCCTGTTCTGCCAGGGGCAGGTGGATAGGGAGCCATCTACCCCACCCGCCTCCTCTCTAAGCTCCTCCTTAGCAGGGAGGCCGCCTCCTGGGCTCCCTTCCCTTCAGTCTGTCCTCAGAACCTGACTGGCAAGTCCCTTTACCCAGAGCCCTCCGACAGCCAGGCCCCCATCTCCGTCACCTCCAGGTTCCACATGGGTGCTCGGGCTAGCTCTGGGAACCCCTCTCTAGCTGGGCAGCACTGCTTCCCTCCCTGGCTCCCAGAGGCACTGTCCCAAGTTTGTGTCAAAGAGCAGTTATGACGACCAGGTCCACAGCAGTCCCTAACCTCATGCACAGGGGCAACCGGAGGCGAGCGCGCTGCCCCGACAGGGAACTAGGAAAGGTGTCTGGCCTAGCCCAGAGCCCTCTGACTCTGGTGAGTCTCCTCTTCCTTTCCTGGGCCGCACCCGAGAGCTCCCCCTCCGGCCTGTCCTCCTCGGCCACTGCCGAAGACCCCAGACGCCAGGCGCGGACGACACTCGGTCCAGACCCCAGACCCCGCCAGCCCCGGACGCGCGCGGCAGCTCGCCTGCCCTGGGCGCGTCCGGCTTTTCTCCCGCGAGCTGTTTTCTGCCAGACGCCCCCCAGGCCCGCCCCCTTACCGCTGGGCGCGCGCAGGAGCTCCGGGGCCGCAGCCGCCCGACGGCCCCACAGCGGCGCGGCGGGCGCGGGCTCCCTCCGGCGGAAGCGGCTCGTGAGCAGCCTCCAGAGGCCGGCGGCGGTGCGGGGGCGGCCGGGCTCCGGCGCTGCGCGCGGGGCGTCGGAGCCCAGCAGGTCGCGGCGGCTGGGGAAGGCGCCTAGGGAGCCGGCGTCGCCGTCGCTACGGGTGCGCGCGCGCGGCGGCCGGGCCAGCAGCCCTGACTCGGAGCGCCGCACCTCCTGGCCGCGGCGCAGGCGGAAGCTGAAGCTCTTCCTGAGCGCCGCCAGGCCGCGCCGGGGCCCCTCCGGCCCGCGCCCGCCGCGCAGCACTGGCCAGCGCTGGCTGCTCCACAACGCCGCGCCGCGCAGGAAGCCCGCGCTGCCCGCGCGCCCCAGACCCGCGCCCGGCGCCTCGGCGGCCGCCAGCTCCAGGCGGTTCACCTCCAGGAAAGTCATGCTGGCCGGCCGGGGCCGCGGAGTCGGCTCCCCGCGGGTGCGGCTGCGCCGGGTCGGCGCGGGGCTGGACGCGGGGCTGGGCGCAGGCGAGACGGGCGGTCCCGAGGGCGCCAGGCCCCGGCGGCCGAGGCGCGGGCGCAGGAGGCCGAGCAAAAGGCCGCGGGCGCCGGTGGGCGGCGGCTCCGGGCCGCCCGAGCACACGCTCCGCGGCCGCGCCGGCTGCTCACTGGCGGCGCAGAGGGCGGCCTGCAGGGCGGCGGCAGCGCGGCCGGCCGAGGCGCCGTGCAGGTCCAGCGAGTCGCAGACGCTGTGGGCGCGGCGGCAAGCGGCGGGCCGCTCCCCGGGACAGCTGTCCCCCTGCGGCCAGCCCCGCTCCATGCTCAGGGCCGGCGGGCGCGGGCCAGGCCCATGGCGAGGGGCACGGGGCTGGGCCCGGGCCGGGGCCGCGGCCGGGGCGCACGGACCTCCGGCCTCTGGGCACCTGGTGTGGGCCGACCGAGTCCCTCAACTCCTCCACCTCGCGGCCGGCAAGCCCAGACCTGGAGAGGCCGGGAGTCAGCCCAGCCCGGAGAGAGAGGCGGCAAGTCTGGCCTGGAACGCCCGGGAACGGCGGCGCGGCGCGGGGGAGCCGGCCTGCTGGGGCAGCCCCTGGGAGCCCTCGAAAACAGGAAATTCCAGCCCAGGGCGCCTCCTAGGATCCGGCAGGTAGGTGAGGAGCTGTCATTACGAGCAGGCCAACTAAATAACAGTCCTCAGTCCACCACACACTGGGCCCCATTTTGGAGAAAAGCGGGCCATTTCTCATTCTTCAAAGGAAGAGCCAGAAGAGCCAAGAACATGAGGCCCAGAAGTATGACAAGCCTGAGTGAGACGTCAGAGGCAGCCATGCCGGGTCTGCGCGCGTGTCCTCGTCTGCAGCACGCGAGCTTCAACGAGGTGGTCCTGTCTTAGTTTCGGCTCTGACATTCTGAGGTCGAGAGTTGCTGGCTGCTACAGTCGGTTTCTGTTGATGACTGAGGCTGTCTTCTTTGGAGATTATAAAATCCAGAAGATACTCATCTGTCTGGACTGAGTTAAGCGTCCTGCCTAAGGGCAGCAGAGAAGTCAAAGATAACCTCCGCTGCAGTTCTGGGTGAGTGACTCACTTCTGAGGCCCGGACCTCTCCAGGCCCCTGCTGCTCACTGGGTCTCACCTCCTGTCGGGATGATGGGCTGAGATCAAGTGGTAGCCTGCGGTACTGGCTCCAGCCTGACGTTCTGTAAATGAAAACACTCCTCCAAGCTCCGAGGCCCTTCCAATTCATGACTGTGGGCTGCCTGGACACCCAGTAAACCCAGAGCTCACCCAGAATTGGAGGCAAGAGCTCCCCGGCTGTGATTGACACTGCATTGTAAACATCAGTCCTCTCCCAGGCTCTGAAGCCCAGCCAGTTTCCGGTCATCCATAAAGTCAGAAACCACTGGCTGCCTCAATACCAGCCACGGATCAGGAGAAACCAGTTTAAGTAGTGGCAAGGGACCAGGGGCTTGCATTTCCTTTAAAAAGACAATACTGCCCACTTTCCTCCACCCCCAGTCCAGCCCAACTCCCAGCGTCCCTTTCAGCTTTAGAATTCCATGGACCTGGTCAGAGCCAAGTGGGAGATACAAGTGGCACATTCCTGAGGGGCTGAGTGGGAATGCCTAAGGAAGGCAGGGCCTCTCCATCCTAGGTGCTCCCTGCAGAAAAGAGCGCTGGAAATTCCCAAGTCCTGGGCTGGATCTCCCAGGCCTGGAGAGGCCCTGGTGGTGAGTTTGTATTTCCGTGGGACTAGTTATTAGCGTTGGTGAAGACGGCTTCTTCCTGTATGGGATGCATGTTCCCCCCACAATGGAAGTACCAGCAGAGGGGCCCTTCCCAGGTCCCCAGGCAGGTACAGAGACAAGAACACAACTCAGTGAAGCCGGCCAACGTCACTGAGCTGCAGATCAAAAGGAAACACATTCTGCCTTGACTTCCCTATCTACGTGTATCTGCCCTCTCTCTCACGCACAACAGGGAATGGCTGTTCTGCCAAAGAATAAGGCTGCCCACTCACAAGCTCATCCTGCAAGCCAGTGAAAATGCAAGCAAAGGGTCGGGCGCGGTGGCTCACACCTGTAATCCCAACACTTTGGGAGGCTGAGGCAGGCGGATCACCTGAGGTCAGGAGTCCGAGACCAGCCTGGCCAACGTAGTGAAACCCCATCTCTACTAAAAATACAAAAAATTAGGCACCGTGTCTCGCGCCTGTAATCCCAGCGCTTTGGGAGGCCGAGGCAGGCAGATCACTTGAGTCCAGGAGTTGGAGACCAGCCTGGGCAACATGGTGAAACCCCGTCTCTACAAAAAAAATATGAAAAATTAGCCAGGCATGGTGGCACGAGCCTGTGGTCCCAGCTACTTGAGAGGCTGACGTGGGAGGATCGCTTGAGCCCAGAGGGTCCAGGTTGCCGTGAGCCAAGATGGAGCCACTGCATTCCAGCCTGGGCCACAGAGTGAGACCCTGTCTCAATAAATAAGAAGCAAGCACAGGACAGCAGCTATGGGAGCCGACCTCTGGAGACGGAGAGGGGATGGGGACACGGTATCCGACAGGGGATGGATCACTTTAGAACCTAGCTGCCTCTTTCAGTGGGAGAACAGTAGGATGGGAAAGAAGGGGGTTAAGGCCCCAGCTGCACACATGCTGGACACACACACACACACACACACACACACACACACACACACGTCTCGGGGAAGGCAGGCAGCAATCCCAGTCCCCAAAAGAACATCTTACAGTCTCAGAAGACATGTAGTCCCACTGCACCTGCAGAATCAGTCCAAGGAGAAAGTGCCACCTGGGTCAACTCCCAAACCCAGAACAGCTTTCTCTTCCTCACCTGGCTGCCCTCTCCTTCCCAGTCCTTTTCCCCAGAAAACTTTCCTGACCCGGAGAAACTAGACAGGGAAGGGCACCTGCTCCCACATAAATGTCTCAGGACATCAAGCCAGTCAAAGACCCCGAAAAGGAGAACAGCTGCAGGCACACACCTCTTTTGCTCATTGGGTCAGCCCAGGGTCAGAGATAAGGTCTCTGTTGTGCCTGATAAGATTCTGCTCCAAAGACACGCAGCAAACACAGCTGTGCTCGACACAGACAGCCACTACCTACTGGGCCCGAAGGAAATTAGGACAAACCTAAAAAGCTCCAGGCTGGGACTACACGAACAGTACTGAAATCCCACAACACAAGCCCTCACGTCAGTTCTCTGTTTATTAAGGCCACCGGAAACGCTGGACTGAATGTGACTCTCAGGGGCTGAGAGGCTCCATGGCAGTTTCTGGGGGACTAAGAGGAAATCTCTCACAAATGCCCGCAGTGTGCATCCTGGGGCAGGACGAACACAGCCTGCCCCGGAGCCAGAGAGCGCAGAAGCCGGGCTCAAGACCCCCTTCTGTGGACTACCTGGATGTCAGGAGGAGAAGCCGACTCTAGTTATGCCCAGTTTCTGTGCTGGCCTGGGCCTCGGGTGCCCTGCTTGCGTGTGCACAGGGGGGTGAGGGGCCGGGGGGGTCATGACGGGGAGAGAGAACACCCCTGGGCAGGTGTGAGGTGTGAGACCCTGCCAGAAAGAGAAAGCTGGTCCTGAGGATGTGGGAACTGGTCGCCTCCAGGTGTGTGTTGCTTGATCCACTGGTGAGCCCTGGCTGTGCCCGCTGCAGCCCACGTGGCCCACAGGGAGTTGGCAGATTTCTTTCGAGGAGATGAGGGAGGATGGATAAGCCTTCTCCTGAAAGCCGGAGCTTGTGGCCAGCTCCGCAGGGTGTGGAGCAGAACCACCAGCAGCCAGGTGTGGTCCCAGAACCACCGTGGCCCTCCCAAACAGTCAGGCCCTTCTTGCCCACAAGGTGGCAGCAAAACATCTTCCTGCAGCCGGGGCTGAGGCAGTGGCTGGGAAGGCTGGCAGGATGCTAGGGCTGGCCACACACCCGCCACTGAGCCCGGGAGGCAGTGGGGGCCACACCAAGACCCCTTCGCCCCCCAGGACTGGCTGGTGTCCAGCAGGCTCTCCAAGTTGGAGCTTAGGGAATCAGAGGAGAAGACGGGGGGCGGGGGGAGAGCGCTCAGGATGCCTCCCCAGTGGGGCCACAGTCCTCCCTAAGTGTCCCAGCAGCTGTCCCGAGACAACTCGAGTTGCTGCAGCAGCAGCCATGGACCTAAATTCCACCCCTAACAGCTCCATTCCAGCATCCCCCATTTTCAACAGCACCACATGAGCTCTGGAGCCGCACAAGCCAAAAGCCTGCTAGTAACACCCTCCATTCCCTTCCTTACCACTCCCCCAGCCCAATCCGTGTCAGTCCTGGTGGCGCTCCCTCCTAAATGTGGCCCAGATCCATCACCAGCTCCTTTCTTCAACTCAAAGGCAAGCCACCATCCTCCCGGGCCTAAGCACCACATCAGCTTCCTAGGGGTCTCCCATCTCCAGCCTCCATCACCACCACTGCCAAGTGATTTCCTTTACAGCTGGGGCGGACCTCTTCAGACCAGAACCTGGTCACCTCTCAGCAAAGCCCTGCAATGGCTCTCCAGCTGGCGTAGAATGGCACCCAATCCCCTTATTCTGTTCCAGTGCCCCGTGTGCTCCTGACTACCTGCTTGCTCTCACCTGACACCCTCCCCAGGACCCGCCTCCATCCCCATCCAGCCTTGACACCTCCCGGGCCTCTGCCCTGCTTGTCCCTGAAGGCATTTGGACCGTGGCTGAAGCATCCCTTCCTTGGGAGGCTGACCATCTCAGTGACCATGCTAACATCATCTAACACTTGCCACTGTCAGCAAGTGCCCCCACAACAGAACTCTGCCAGGCACATGAAGGTGGCCATGATTCCCCGAGTGAATGAGTGGAAGTCTTTGCTGAGCATGCACTGTGCTCCCAGGGCTTTTGGCCTCTTTGTGGGGAGGAAGGCCTAAGAGAGATGGGCCCTGGCTGGGCCAGTCTTTTGAGAGAAGTCACAGGCACAGGCAAAATAATCTGCACAGGCCCCAAGTTGAAAGGCACGGCGCACCCTGGAGTTGAGAAAGCTGGATTCAAGTTCAGCCTCTGGCACCTATTGGTGGGTGACCAGCCACGGTCTCCTTAACCTCAGGTCTGTCTGTAAATTAGGAATGGCCCAGCTTCCAGCTAAAGGTGCTGTGCAGGCCAGCCCTGTGAGCATGGAGGGCCGCATGGTGCCTGGCGTGCAGCGGGCAAGCAACAGAAGGAGCTGCTCCTATTGCGCAAGGGAGAGCCAGAGTGGACGCTGGGATCACTGAAACCAGCCCTCTCCACATCAGAAAGCCAGGCAGATGCAGTCAGCCCATGAAACCTTAGCAGCTCCCCCTCAGCTTGGCTTTGATTCCTGGGCTGGTCCCTCCATCTCCCCTCTAAGAGACCTCAGAGATACGGAGGACCCTGGAGAGCCCTGAGTCCTAACCCCCAGGACCTCAGAATGTGACCTTATTTGGAAATAGGGTTGTTGCAGATGTAATTAAGATGAGGTCATACTTGAGTAGGGTGGGCCCTGAATCCAATCTGACTCGTGTCCTTATAAAAGGGGGGAATTTGGGCATGTCGACAGACACCAAGGGAAGTCAATGTGAAGAGATGCAGGGAGAAGACGGCATCGACAAGCCAGGAAGAGAGGTGTGGGGCGGATCTCTCCCTAGTGCCTTCAGAGGGGGCGTGGCCTTGCCCACACCTTTATCTCAGACATCTGGCCTCCACAACTGTGACACAGTAAACTTTTTGGTTTTTGAGACAGGGTCTCCCTCTGTTAACCAGGCAATCACAGCTCACTGCAGCCTCGACTTCCTAAGCTCAAGCAATCCTCCTGCCTCGGCCTCCCAAGTAGCTGGGACTTTAGGCATGCAACACCATGTCCAGCTATTTTTTCTTTGTTTTCTTTGTTTTTTGTTTTTTGTTTTTTTTTTTTTTTACAGAGGTGGGAGTCTCACTATGCTGCCTATGCTGGTCTAGAACTCCTGGGCTCAAGTGATCAACTGGCCTTGACCTTCCAAAGTGCTGGGATTACAGGCATGGGCCACCGCAGCCAGCTAGGAACAGACTTAGGTTGTTTCAAACCACCCTGTTTACAATGGTTTATTACCACAGCCCTAGGAAGCTATGAGCTCTCCAGAAAAGCTAGTGCATACTGGGAAGAACACACAGGTGTTTTCTGAGGAGGTCCGAGTCCCCTTAATCCCTGCCATGGGTTCCAGGTTCAGAACTCGTGTTCTGGTTCATCCTCTCCTTTTAGAGATGAGGGCATTGACACCCAGAGAGGGGAAGTCACTTGCCTGCAGTTACACAGCCCAGCAGTGACAGAGCCTGGGCAGGGCCCAGGACTCCAGAATCCCAGGCTGGAGCTTGGGCCTCTAAGTCATCATTTCACATTATTTTTTGAGTGCTTACTAAGTGCATTCAGGGCAAGCAGACTGAAGTCTCTGCCCCACCCTGCCTCAAGGTGACGCGGCTGGCAGTCTGGACTGGCGTAGGACCCAGCCTACATCCTTGGGACCCTCCGAAGGCTGCTCTGAGGCCCGGGGATTCTGCCCCATCTCCAGAGGTCAGGATGTCGGTCTGAGAGCTCCCCAGTGACTTTGGTCCTCTCCTCCCCAGGGAAAAGCTGAGGGAGAGAAGGCGGCAGAGGTGCTGGTGGGGGTGCGGGTGGCAGAGAGAGCCACAGGACCGAGAGCAGTGCAAGGAGCAGGGAAACTGAGATTACCCCAGGGTGGGGGTGGGAGTGGCTGTCATTCCAGCCGAAAATGGCCTTTCGACACCAGGCCGGTGACATGGCGGTATTGTAGTACTACAGATGGTACTTGAGAGCAGTTTGTTTTCCTGTCTATCCATGAGCTCTGTGCTGGGTGCAATGGTGGACAGGACAAAGGCCCTCCCCTCGAAGACTCGGTCCCTTAGCATGTCCCCCATCTGGCCTCCTGGCTTTGTCCCATCTGGCCATGTTCTAAGACCCTGGAAGTGCCCGTGACGCCACTCCAGCTCTGACCAGCAACAGCAACTGTGGGCTTAGCTCTGCTTTCTAGCAGCTCCTCCCTGGAGAGGAACGCGACCAGCATGTGCTGCACCCCCCGCATGGGCCGGTGCCGTGCCAGAGGATCCTACACCTCACAGCATCTCCAGCCCTCCCATGGCCTGAAGGGTGGGGGCAGGAGGTGGGCCACCACCACAGGGTGGGACGGTGGGGGCTCCAGACTCAGAATATGAAGCATCGTACGGCTCTATGCCGTGTTGCACCTTTTTCTCATAACTGACCCATCGCCTACACTTTCGACATTTAAAAATGTGGTTCTCTCTGAACAGGCAGGCCAGCTGCAGTCCCATGAGCTAGAGTTCTGCCTCTTCCAACCCAATGAGCCTCTAAAATGCATTCCAAGTATGAGATTCATTCCCTGTCAGCAGCACCATCCCTTCCACTTGCCTTTGTATTTTTTACAAAAGTAAAAAAAAAAAAATTTTTTTGAGACGGTCTCATTTTGTCACCCAGGCTGGAGTGCAATGGCGCCATCACAGCTCACTGCAGCCTTGACCTCCTGGGCTCAATCGATCCTCCCGCCTCAGCCTCCTAAGTAGCTGGGACTACAGGTGTGCCACCTCGCCCAGCTAGGTTTAGTATTTTTTTTGTAGAGACCGCTTTCACCATGTTGCCCAGGCTGGCCTCCCAACTCCTGAGCTCAAGCAATCTGCCTGCCTTGGCCTCCCAAAGTACTGGGATTACAGGCATGAGCCATCGTGCCTGGCCCCAAAAGCAAAAACTTTTTTTTTTTTTTTTTGAGCCGGAGTCTTGCTCTTGTCGCCCAGGCTGGAGTGCAATGGCACGATCTCAGCTCACTACAACCTCCGCCTCCCGGGTTCAAGTGATTCTCCTGCCTCAGCCTCCCGAGTAGCTGGGATTACAGGTGCGTGCCACCACATCCGGCTAAATTTTGTATTTTTAGTAGAGACGGGGTTTCACCATGTTGGCCAGGCTGGTCTCGAGCTCCTGACCTCAGGTGATCTACCTCCCTTGGCCCCCCAAAGTGCTGGGATTACAGGCGTGAGCCACCACGCCCGGCCGCAAAATATTTTTATAAACAGAAGATGCAATAAAGTGTTCAAATCATTGCACTAATTTTGCAGGACTGATGTGGAGGAAGTGTGGAAAACAGCTGCTGAAAGTGCAGGTGCAGACGTGCGAAGGTGCTGCACTGTGAGGGATGCTCTAGGCCACTGCAGGTAACAGTGCAGCGATTTTTTAAAAGATTCAGACAGGCTGAGAGTCTAGTGGACAGAAGTTTAAAAGCACCTGAGAGGCCAGGCGTGGTGGCTCACTCCTATAACCTCAGCACTTTGGGAGGCTTTCAAATCCTGAGCCTGAGGCGGGCGAATCACCTGAGGTCAGGAGTTCGAGATCAGCCTGGCCAACGCGGCAAAACTTTGTGCTACTAAGAATACAAAATTTAGCTGGGTGTGGTGGTACGTGCCTGTAATCCCAGATACTCCGGAGGCTGAGGCAGGAGAATTGCTTGAACCCGGGAGGAGAAGGCTGCAGTGGGTCAAGACTGCACCACTGCACTCCAGCCTGGGTGACAGTGCAACTCCATCTTAAAAACAAAAAAAAGCACCTGAGGCTGGTGTTGCATGCCTGTAGTCCTAAGGTGAGAGGATCACTTGAACCTGGGAGGTGGAGGTTGCAGTGAGCCGAGGTTGTGCCACTATCCTCCAGCCTAGGCAACAGAGTGAGACCCTGTCTCAAAAAAATAAATAATTTAATTTAATATAAATTTTTGCAAAGACTCTTTCACCAGCCTGAAGAGACAAAAGGAAAGACCTCACACCCAGATCTGCTGTGTTTTGAGGAGTGATTTTCTTTCTTCCGCTTGAAGAGGAAAAAGCTATTTTCACTGGTACATTTAAAGCCCCCAACTATGGGGAGGTACCAATTCTGGACAAGTGCCACTGCAACACAATGCTCAGAGTACCTGAACTTTTCAACTCTGTTGGCGGGGCAGAAATTCACTGCTGGCCACTGACAGGTCTGTTTCATATTTTCAAAGGAATATTGGGTGCTACAAGTAGGAACTGAGAGGTAAACTTATTAAACCCATTAAACCTCAGATTGGTTGGTGTTTTCCTGTCATTTTAAGAGACTAAATGTGGGGGGCAGACGTCAAAATACTTGTACAATTTTAAAATGTCACAATTAAACATGAGCTGGTTTAAAAAAAAAAAAAAGACTCTTACCTAGCATGGGTGGGTGGCAATGCTTGACTGTGTGTGTGTGTGTGTGTGTGTGTGTGTGTGTGTGTGTGGTGTCGGGGGGGGGGGCGGAATGGAGGGGTTGGAGACAGGCTCTGTTCCCCAGGCCGGAGTGCAGTGGCGAGATTAGAGCTTACTGGAGCCTCTCCCCTCCCGGGCTCAAGAGATCTTCCCACCTCAGCCCCACAAGTAGCTGGGAGCACAGGTGTGTGTCAGCTATGCCCGGCTAATTTTTTTTCTTTTTTTTTTTTTTGTAGAGACGGGGTTTCCCTATGTTGCCCACAGTGGTCTCAAACTCCTGGCCTCAAGTGATCCTTCCACCTCAGCCTCCCAAAGTGCTGGGATTACAGGTGTGAGCCACCATGACTGGCATAATACTTGATTGTTTAAAAAGTCAGATACAAATTTGTATGTAACAAAATTATATGGACCTGTATAAAAAATGCAAGAAAATATCAAAATAATGACAAAATGGTGACCGTGGCTGCCTGCCTCTGGTTAGAATTACTGGTGACTTCTTTTGCTTCTTTTATGTTTTTCTGCAGTAAGTGTACATCACCCTGTTTTCTGAAATGTTTACAGACGATATATTACTTTGTAAAAAGAAACAGAAGACTGTTCCCCCTTGGAATGAGGAGAGGAAAATCCTCTGAGTCAGACTCTGAGGGGATACAGAGGAAGAACACAGGCTGTGGCTAGTATAAATGTGCACTCTGCCAATCTTTTTTAAATTTTATTTCAGGGTAAGAAAACATTCACAACATGCTCAGAAAACCACTGTTTTGGCCGCATGCCCTCTTCCCTCTCCTTAACACAGATGCGTCCTGAGTGACTGTCTTCCCAGCTCCTGCTCACGCTGCAGTTCACACCAAACCGCCCCGCCAGGGGCACCTGGGGCCCTCCCCAGGCCACTGGGTTGGCTCTAGCTTGCTCCGGTGGCCTGGCTTCATAGCATCTCACAGTATGCATGTTCTGTCCGTTCTTCAACCCTTCCCCTGCTGAGGGACAGTCACGTCACTTCCTTCTTTTTTAGCTACCACAAGCAAGGCGGTAATCAATACCTGTGTGCCTATGGTGTGTTCTTCCCGAGGCATGTGAATGCTTCATGTGAATGGATAACGCCGTTACTTTTCCAGGTTGGTCGTAGCAATCCCTTCTCCTGCTCTCCACCAGCCGTGGGTGGGGATGTCGGTGCACCCTGTGCGCCAGCAGTCTGCTCTTCCAACCGGGGAACCAGTCCCTGGCGCTTCTGATGGGCACGCCCCTGATTACTAGTGAGGTTGCGCCTTTTCATGTTCATCAGCAACACAAAGCATTTCCTCTTCTTTCATTTGTCTTGATCCTACTCTTTGCCTGTCTTTCTTTTCTTTTGGCCTGTTTTTCTCTTGGGTTTTTCAAATCGTTTTCTTAATCTGCAGGAGCTCTTCGTATAGCGGGCACGCAAAGCATGTATCCGGCACATGTGCACTGCAAGAGGTCCTCCTGCTTTATGACCCAGAAATGTAATTACATGTCTGCTAGTTTTGTCACTGGTTATAACATTTGAACAACAAAATCCATGACACAAGGGCGACACTAAAGATAAGAGTGGGAAGATGCTGCTCTTAACAGAACACTGGCTAATACTTACAGAAAGATTGTCGGGTTTACGGCCACCTTGACAATCCCGATATCACCAACTCAGGCAAAGATCATTGATGGACGCTAAAACCATCAGGTGAACAGTTGTGCGGGGCAGTTTATTTCGAGCGTGTGGAATGATCACCCCTACAGACTACTTACTAATTACAGAGGGAGGAAATGAACCTTCACATTGGAGAGACCCAGTCCTCACGCCCCCGCCACGGCACTAAGGCTGTGGTCCCGTGGAGGAACCGGGTGTTCCCGCTGAGCTTCCAGATCACAGTTCAGTTCAAAGACCCCACAAGGGAGAAAGGAACAAGACAGAAAACACCCAGCGCCAGCCAGCCCACGTCACGGTTCCAGGACTCGGGCCTTCTACAGGAAAATGGGTCCTGGCCCTACAATAAGTCCATGTCATGGGGGAAAAGGTATCACATTGGATCCTGTTTCATCCTTATCTAGGAAAACAAAAAAAGCTCTGTAAGACCTTTCAGGCATCGCTGGGGAAGTGTGGTTATGGGTCAGCTACTAAATATCAGGGAGCTCTTCTGACCTTCCTAGGTGCTATTCTGGTGTAATGGTTGTGTAGAATGATGTGCCTGTCCTCAGGAGATGCCTGCTGAAGAGCTTGGGAAGATGTGTCAGTGTGTCTACAACTGCTGAAAAAACATATGTGAGCATGAGGCAGTGACAGAGAGCCAGCAAATGCGGTAAAATGTTAATAATGATCACATTTTTAAATGCTGTCATTTTTCAAAATAAAAAGCTGGGGGTGGGGGGAATCTGTCAGTTTGTTCCTCTATAAATTCTGGGTTTTCTGTCCGCTTAAGAGGATCTCTCATCCCAAGATTAGACAACATTCTTCTAAATTTCTGCTCTGTTTTTAAAGGTCTTATCTTTCTCCCTGTGCATAAAGGTGGCAGCACAGGCTCCAAAGCCAGACTTCCTGGGTACAGGTCCTGTCTCCACGATTTGAATGAGCAGCCTTGGGCCATTTCCTTTACATCTGTGTACCTCAGTTTCCTCATCTGCAAAATGGGGTTAATACTACCCTGTAGGGATGCTCCAAAAATTGCAGGAATACGAGAAGGGCACGTAAGCACACAGGCAGTGCCTGGCACAGTATGAGAACTAAGAGAAAGGCATTCTTTCTTGTGTGTGTTTTTTCAGAGGCAAGGTCTTCCTAAATATAGTCCAAGCTGGAGTGCAGTAGCACAATCATAGCTTATCTAACTGCAGCAGCCTCCCATGTGGCTGAGACTACAGGTGTGTAACACCACACCTGGCTAATTTTTAAAAATTTTTTGTAGCGGCTGGGTGAGGTGGCTCATGCCTGTAATCCCAGCACTTTGGGAGGCCGAGGGAGATTGCTTGAGCCCAGGAGTTCGAGACCAGCCTGGGCAACATGGAGAAACCTCGTCTCTACTAAAAATAGAAAAATTAGCTGGGTGTGATGGTGTATGTCTGCAGTCCTGGCTACTTGGGAGGCTGAGGTGGGAGGATCACCTGAGCCTGGGATGCAGAGGTTGCAGTGAGCTGAGATCACACCATGACACTGCGCTCCAGCCTGAGCCACAGAGCGAGACCCTGTCTCAAAAAAAAAGAAATTTTTTTTTTTTTTTTTGTAGAGACGAGGTATCACTATGTTGCCTAGGCTGGTCTTGAACTCTTTTAGGCTCAAGTGATCCTCCTGCCTTGGCTTCTCAAAGTGCTGGGATTACTTGCGTGAGCAACCACACTACCATTCTTTCTGAGATAGCAGATCTGGTCCTGCTGTCCCTGGCTTAGAACCTGTAACTCCTGTCACCCACAGCAGAAGCTGTCAATCTTGTGACATTTGCAGCACAAACACAAAGTGCTGGAGTGTGGGGTGGCGCGTTTGAGTAGTTTGAAAACATACTACGCCAGTGATTTTAATAATAAAAGCACTACTGCGGTGAAGCCATGTCTAGCAGTACCTACTGGGCTGCAGGCTCACCGGAGCTCTGGGCCGCTGTCCTCGTGCCCCAGGCCACTGCGCAGAAACCTGCTCGCCACCCTCAGCACATGCTCTGAGGATGCTCCTGAGTCGAGATGCTTTGCTTTTCAGTCAGCTGATTTTCCCTTGGTGCCAGGCCCGTCTCCCACTCAGAGCAAAGGGACTGCACCTCGAGGACACCCACACGCCCCACTCCCAGCCTAAGCAGGCTGTCATCTGCACCTCTGCTTTATTTTACCCTTGCTCAAGTTTTGGGGTCACCTGGGAAGGAAGGGCTCATGGCACCACTGCCCCCAGGTTCAGAACTCACCTCTGCCAGCCCTCACCCCCGCATGGCTCCCCTCACCCAGGCGCACCGGCCCACCTTTGCCTTCCAGGAACAGAGGGACGGGAGGCAGATTCTCTCTCACCCCGAGGCCTGGGGTGGGAGATGATTCTCTCCCGGCCTCCCGAGACCCTGGCTTCCTGCCCCGTTGAACTGGCTCCCTGGGAGGTTCGGCCTATCCTGGGCCCCTCCTCTGCGGCAGATGCCAGGTTCCCTGCTCACTTCCTCCCAGCCTCTGTACTGCTACCCAGGCGTGTGTCTCAGCCAGGCCTATGGGACTATGGCCTCTTGGCTGTGGTGGGCACAGGGAGGGAGGCGCCCACACTCTGGGGCTTTGCTCACGGGCAGGACACCGGGTTTCCCACAGTCTCCTGAGTCCTGGCTTCCACCCCTCGAGGGCACTCAATGCCCCACCAGCCTCTTCCCAGCCACCTGGGCACCCCTGATGAGTGCCAGCAGCTTGAGACCTTTAGGAACCCAGGCAAGAGGCTCCTACACAGACCTGATCCTGATATCCCTGCCAACAGGGAGGGCATGAGTCAGGATACACCCGCCTCAGAAGGAGACCATCCAGCCACCATAATGGCCTGTCCCCTCCAGCCCAGGAGGAGATAGCAATGCACGGGTCCCTGCAAGCTGCTTCCTCAAGTGCCTGCCTGACAGCCATTCCCCCACCAGCCCAGGAGGGGCCCTGTGGACCCACTACAGAAGTAAGGAGGCTCCTTGGTGGCTCAAGCACTCATGGGGCCGGGCCTGGTGCTGGGCTGGGGACCCGGGGATGGCTGGGCAGTTCCACTTGGGCTCAGGGCTCAACATCCATCAGGGAGGTGGTGAGTGATGCGGACGCCAGGATTGACGCGTGCCAGCGGGGGAGGTGGCGGCTGCTCCAGGCCATGGGGGACCTGAAGGTGGTTGGAACCAGCTGAGCTCCATGGGGGGCTGCAGGTGGGACAGGCACCCACCCACCAGGCCAGGGCTGCAGGGAGAGCAGAGTCGGCCAGGCAGGGTCCTGTGATGGGGGCAAGGAGTCCTGACAGAGCCAGGTCTATTTATTATTATTATTTTATTATTATTTTTTGAGACAGTGTCTCACTCTGTCTTCCAGGCTAGAATGCAGTGGTGCAATCTCAGCTCACTGCAGCCTCAACCTCCTGGGCTCAGGCGATCCTCGCACCTCAGCCAACTGAGTAGCTGGGACTACAGGCGTGCACCACCACACCCAGCTAATTTATGTATTTATTTTTGTTTTCTGTAGAGATGAGGTCTCACTGTGTTGCCTATGCTGGTCGTGAACTCCTGGACTCAAGCGATCCTCCTGCCTTGGCCTCCCAAAGTGCTGGGACTACAGGTGTGAACCACTGTGCCCGGCCCGGCCTTAATTTTGTTTTTATAAGGGTGCTAATTACTCGATAGCCAGGTTTACACCGCAGCTTGCTGAGCAATCCCGACACTGGCGTAGCTGCTGGGAGAGACAGCAGCCTTCCCATGTGAAGTGGAACGCGACACATCTCTTAGGGGCTGCTGTACGGCTCAGGACCCACACAGAGAAGTGCAGGGCACAGAGCAGGCTCAGGTGGCACCTCACACCAAGCCTCTCCCAGGCATGGAAGCCAGGAGGGTTCTTGGTGCTCCACAACCAGCCCGGGATGTGATGAGAATCTAGTAACATGGGTTCAGGACGGCATCTCCCTCCAAAACAGCACCGCAGCTGGGGGAGCACGAAATCCCCACAAGACCCTCTCGGAGTTGGGCTCAGGACACCCCATCTGAGACGCCACAAAGGGCGCACTGCAGGCAGGGGCTGCCCCCTGCAGCCTGTCCTCAGGCTCCCACAAAGCCCCGGGTCCTTCCCGACATTCACAAGAGCGGGTAGGAAGGGATCCGTCACTGACTGCTGCAGCACCGCGGGCTCTTCCCAGCACAGTCCATGAGCACCTCATTTCCAGGGTGGGGGCTCTCCCTGTTTCTCAGCCAGGAAGTGGGCGGAGAGACAGGGAGCTTCCCTCTGTGCAACACAGTTTCCAAGAGTCCGTGTGTGTTTACAAACTTTCTGCTATTACATATATTACTTAGTATGGGACAAACACAAACAAACAAACAAAAAAAACCTTACAAAAATGGCCCCTGCCTAAAATGCCAGGATGGGGTGAGGAAAGACTGTGGCTTTGCTGACTGAGGCCTCTGACCCACGGTCCCGAGGGAAGCCCCTAGCAGGTGGTCAAGATGCTGACTGACAGCGGCCAGCGGCCCGGTCCCGGTGCCAGTCCCCGGGCCCACATGCACTTCATCTCATAAGAGCAGGGCCTGGGCTCCACCCTCCCACCTGGCACAGGACCCAAGGTGGGAACACGAGTGCCCCTTAACATGAACACACTTTGTCACCCACCACACACAACAACAGTTGTACTTCTAGGTTTTAAGAAAACACACAGGGACAAAAGACTACTGTGAATTCAGCAAGACTTTTAAATGGATTTGTCTGCTGTCAATCACCACAGCCTAGGTGGGTGCTCGACAAAGAAGTATTTGTTATGTGACTGAGAAGGGCACATTATTCTGATTTTTTTTTTTTTTTTTGAGATGGAGTCTCACTCTGTCGCCCAGGCTGGAGTGCAGTGGCGTGATCTCGGCTCACTGCAAGCTCCGCCTCCCGGGTTCACACCATTCTCCTGCCTCAGCCTCCCGAGTAGCTGGGACTACAGGCGCCCGCCACCATGCCCGGCTAATTTTTTGTATTTTTAGTAGAGACGGGGTTTCACTGTGTTAGCCAGGATGGTCTCGATCTCCTGACCTCGTGATCCGCCTGCCTCGGCCTCCCAAAGTGCTGGGGTTACAGGCGTGAGCCACCGTGCCCAGCCCTGAATTTTTAATATAATCTTTTGAAAAGTTGAATAGATGGCTCACACCTATAATCCCAGCGCTTTGGGAGGCCAAGGTGAGTGGACTGCCTGTGGTCAGGAGTTCGAGACCAGTCTGGCCAACATGGTGAAACCCCGTCTCCACTAAAAATACAAAAAAATTAGCCGGCTGTGGTGGCATGCACCTGTAATCCCAGCTACTCGGGAGGCTAAGGCAGGGGAATTGATTGAACCAAGGAGGTGGAGGTTGTTAGTGAGCCAAGACTGCACCACTGCACTCCAGCCTGGGTGACACAGCAAGACTGTCTCAAAAAAAAAAAAAAAAAAAGAAAAGAAAATTGAATCAAAGAGGATACACTTCAGTATTCAATTTTTACAACCAACAGGCATTTGTTATTTATTTATTTTTAAACAGACTGGTCTTGCTCTGTCGCCCAGGCTGGAGTGTAGTGGTGTGATCACGGCTCACTGCAGCCTTGACTCTGGGTTCAAGCAGTCCTCTCACCTCAGCCTCCTGAGTAGCTGGGACTATAGGCGCACGCCACCACACCTGGCTAATTTTTTAATTTTTTTTTGTAGAGACAGCGTCTCACTATATTGCCCAGGTTGGTCTCAAGTGATCTGCCCACCTTGGCCTCCCAAAGTGGCACCCAGTCCCATGTGTTATCTTTGTGTATATGTGTGTGTTTGTATGTGTGTGTGTGTGCCAGGGTCTCCCTCTGTCGCCCAAGCTGAAGTGCAGTGGTGCAATCTCAGCTCACTGCAACCTCTGCCTCCCAGGTTCAAGCAATTCTCCTGCCTCAGCTTCCGGAGTAGCTGGGACTGGAGGCATGCGCCACCATGCCTGGCTAATTTTCCTATTTTTTGTAGAGACAGGGTTTCGTCATGTTGGCCAGGCTGGTCTTGAACTCCTGACCTCAACTGATCTGCCTGCCTCGGCCTCCCAAAGTGCTGGGATTACAGGTGTGAGCCACCGCGCTTGGTCCCATTTGTTATCTTATAGGCTATAAATCAGAGCTATTCTTCAACACCATAGCCACTGGCCTGGTATGGCCAGGGGGCACTGCAAACATGGCCAGTCCCATGCGGAGGCGCTGGGTGTCAATACCAAGTGGAGTGTGAAGACGTGGTATGAACAGAAGAACATAAAAATATCTTATTAATAGATATTTATATATTAATAGATTTCATGCTGAAATGAGAATATTTTTGATATGGTCTGGATGTGTGTCTCCTCCAAATCTCATGTTGAAATGTGATCCCCAGTGTTAGAGGTGGGGCCTGGTGGGAGGGTGTTTGGGTCATGGGGCCAGGTCCCTCATGAGTGCTGTCCCCACTGCGGCTGTTGAAGAGTGTAGCGCCCTCCCTGTCGCTCCCACTTCCACCATGTGACTTCCTATTCCTGCTTTGCTTTCTGCCACCCGTAAAAAGCTCCCTGAGGCCTCCCCGGAAGCACAGCAGATGCTAGCACCACCTTCCTGCACAACCTGCTGAACTGTCAGCCAATTAAACCTCTTTTCTTTTTCTTTTTTTTTTTTTTTTTTGAGACAGAGTCTCACTCTGTCGCCCAGGCATAATCTCAGCTCACTGCAACCTCCGCCTTCTGGGTTCAAGTGATTCTCCTGCCCCAGCCTCCTGAGTATCTGGAATTACAGGTGCCCACCATCAGGGCTGGCTAATTTTTGTATTTTTTAGTAGAGGCCGGGTTTCACCATGTTGGCCAGGCTGATCTCAAACTCCTGACCTCAGGTGATCCACCTGCCTCGGCTTCCCAAAGTGCTGGGATTACAGGTGTGAGCCACAGTGCCCGACCTAAACTTCTTTTCTTTACAAATTATCCAGCCTCAGGTGTCTCTTTATAGCAACATAAGAACTTATACAATTTTGAATATACTGGGTTAAATAAAATATATTAAAATTAATCTCACTTTTAAAAAATCTTTTTAATATGGCTACTTGAAAATTGAAAATCAGGCCGGGCGCGGTGGCTCACTCACGCCTGTCGTCCCAGCACTTTGGGAGGCCAACGTAGGCAGATCACCTGAGGTCAGGAGTTCGAGACCACCCTGGCCAACATGGTAAAACCCCGTCTCTACAAAAAATACAAAAATTAGCCAGACATGGTGGCATGTGCCTGTAATCCCAAGGCATGTGCCTTGGGAGGCTGAGGCACGAGAATTGCTTGAACTCGGGAGGCAGAGGTTGCAGTGAGCTGAGATCATACCACTACACTCCAGCCTGGGAAACAAAGCAAGACTCTGTCTCGTTAAAGAAAAGAAAAGAAAATTTAGGCCAGGCGCAGTGGCTCATGCCTGTAATCCCAGCACTTTAGGAGGCTGAGGCGGGTGGATCACGAGGTCAGGAGATCGAGACTACCTTGGCTAACGCGGTGAAACCTCGTCTCTACTAAAAATACAAAAAATAAGCCGGGCGTGGTGGTGGGCACCTGTAGTCCCAGCTACTCGGGAGGCTGTGGCAGGAGAATGGCGTGAACCTGGGAGGCAGAGGTTGCAGTGAGCCGAGATCGCGCCACTGCACTCCAGCCTGGGCGACAGAGCGAGACTCCACCTCAAAAAAAAAAAAAGAAAAGAAAATTTAAGTTCACACGTGTGACTCGCCCATGTCTACTGCACAGTGCTGAATCAGAGAAAAAAACAACAGGCAAAACATCAAAGATGACCCTGGGTGTTCACGGGAACGTGCAGGCCCTGTGACAGCCCTGCCCCCTCAGGTCCCTTCCCCTGGGCCTGGATGAGCTAAACCAACGTACCCCACACTCTGCCACCTGGGCTCTCAGGCTCGGGTCCGGAAATGGTCATTCCTGTGATCTCATGCAGCCCTCACCTCACGCATCCCCACGCAGGCGGTGATGACAGCTGAGCCTCTGAGACAAGTAATGAGACAGTCGCCACCCAGCACGCACATCCTCAGGGCAGCTGCTGCTCTAAAAGCTCTGCAGACGTTAACTGATTTGCTTCTCACGCCCACACCATGAAACGGATGCCCATGTTTTACCAATGGCGAAGCTAAGACACAGAGGGGTTAAGGAACTCACCCGAGGTCACACAGCTCCCAAGTGGTAGGTCTGGGACTCAAATCTAGGCAGCCTGGCTCCAGAGCCCAGGTGCTTAACCTCTATTCTATTCAGGCCCTGAGAGAAGAAATGAAGGCCAGGCTTCATTCCACATCACCCAATATAGAACCATCCAGAACAATCTAGAAGTAATAATGGGGTGGCAGGGGGGCAGGGGGTGCTGCCTCAGAGTGATGGAAAGCCTCCAAAACGTCCCAACTCTTCTCAAACAAAGGCTCTGGGGCTTGCCTTTCTGGTATCTTTTTTTTTTTTTTTTTTTTTTTTTTGTACAACTGTGATTGGACAAGACATTTAGAGCATCTTTAACCAAAACCTCCTCCAGGCACAGAAGTGCCATCCACCAGTGCCTGGAAAAACCCAGGCCCAGGAAGGGGTGGGGATCCCAGCAGAAGCAGAGCAGAGATCCCTGGAGGGGTCTAGACTTTTCGGTCCTCCCTCTGCCCCTGTGACAGGCTTTGATCCCACTCCAGGCGCTGGGGTTTCAGGTTTGCAAGCCATCAAAACACCAAACTGAAAAGGCTAAAGGGAAGCTGCTGTAGGCAGGCACCCCTACGGCGGTAAGGAGGGGTTCTGGCAGAAAAGGAACAGGCACAAAGCCCTAAGGTACAGCCATCTGGGGCTACGGTATGGAGCGGGCACAGCCAGCCTCAGCCTCCTGGGTGGCCCAGAGGATGGCACTGTCTGCTCAGCTCAGGGCACATTGAGGCCGAAGTGCTGACTATGGGAACTCAGACAGTGCCTGACTTGCAGCAAACAGAGAAATGTACGTTGTAGAAAAACCTACATTAAAAGAGATTAAAACGGTCTTCAGCTCAATAAGAAAAAGTAACATTGGGAGGTGGAGGCAGGAGCATCACTTGAGGCCAAGAGTTTGAGACCAGCCTGGGCAACACAGACCCTGACTCTACAAGACAATTTTAAAAATTATTAGCCAGATGTGGTGACACATGCCTGAGTCCCAGCTACTCAAGAGGCTGAGGTGGGAGGATTGCTTGAGCTTAGGAATTTGAAGTTGCAGTGAGCTACGATCGCGTCACTACACTCCAGTCTGGGTGACAGACCAATATTCTGAGGAAGGAAGGAAGGAAGGAAGGGAGGAAGGGAGGAAGGGAGGGACAGAGGGAAGGAGGGAAGGGAGGGAGGAAGGGAGGGGAGGCCAGGCATGGTGGCTCACACCTGAAATGCCAGCACTTTGGGAGGTGAGACGGGAAGATCACTCGAGGCCAGGAGTTTACAGCCAGCCTGGGCAACATAGTGAGACCCCATTTTTACAAAAAGAAAAAAGAAAAAGAGGAACAAACCAAAAGTAAAATGAATAAAGGATATGTACAGAATGAACAAAATGCAAATGACCTCTCAAAAATGTTTTAATATCAACTCTCACTAATAGTCAAAGTGAATCCAATAATGAAATAGCTAGTGATCAACTAGTAATCAAAGTCAAACAAAGTAAAACAACGAGAGTCATTTAGTCTTTTTTTTTTTTTTCTTACGTATCAGATGAAGAAGGGGTGCCGGGGAAGTGGGGCAGGGAACTCCAGGCTGTCTCTATGCCTGAAAATCAAATGGCCTTTCTGGAGGGCAGGGTGCCAGAGTGCCGCAAACGTCCTAAAAATGTGCCGACCCCAGAGTCTGACCATTTTCTTCTGAAAATTTGTCCAAAAGCAATAACGAGACAAGCGTACAAGGCGGCACGTAATAAACAGCATTCCCTTACACAGGATACCCTGCCGCCTTTCAGAATAATGCCTGATATTTCACCTGTGCTTATGACACGCTAGGCACTGTTCTAAGCACACCGCGTTGGGGGTCTCAATCCTCAGCACTACCAAGCGGCAGAGCTTTGTTATGACCCACCTCAGGTAAGGAAACAGAGGTACAGAAAATCTCACCTCTCCCCACAGGATCTCTTCTGATTCTCAGCTCCTGGAGGGCTCCAAGGGGGGCGCATCTCAAAGTGCTGCATGACAGAGGCAGCCTCAGAACAGATCTCAGGGACCCCAGCTCAGGTGCTCACTTGACAGACAAGACCCCCGGCCAGGGAGCCAAGCCTGGCCTGTTCCAGATACTCACGCCAGGGTCACCCCTAGCTGCATAGACAACCAGAATGTGACTCTCAGAAGACGCACCCAGAGCAGACTTGCCCCAGCTCTCACAGCCAGTTAGTGGCAGAGCAGGGACGGGAACCCAGGTATCCTGACTCCCAGCCTAGGAGCTGCCAAATACGCAAATGAACACGGGAGCCTCCTTTTGTGAATCTCCGGCTCCCCTTCTCCCAGCAAAGCATTTTCCACAACAATCCCACGTTTGCTGCGAAAGCCTAGTAACAGCAAATCCAGCAAAGAGTCGTTAATAGAAAAAAGACCAGAAGGATGCACATCCGACTGCTCACCACAGATCCTCCCAGGAGAGGGGAGGCCGGGCAGCCACCTTCCTACTTCTACATTTGAATGGCTTGTAACAAGCATGTATTTACTTTCATCCCTTAAACACATTAAAATGAAATTTAAATTAAATACATATTTGGGCACGGACGTGGTGGCTCATGCCTGTAATCCCAGCACCTTGGGAGGCCGAGGTGGAAAAATTGCTTGAGTCCAGGAGTTCAAGACCAGGCCAAACAACATAGCAAGACCCCATCTCTACAAAGAATGAAAAAATTAGCTGGGTGTGCTGGTGCATATTTGCAGTCTCTGCTACCTGGGAGACTGAGGTGGAAGATCGCTTGAGCCCAAGATTTTGAGGCTACAGTGAGCTAGGACTGCACCACTGCACTGCAGCCTGGACAACAGAGGGAGACCCTGTCTCCAAAAATATATATACACACACATATACATACATATAATACATACATACATATATATGTTTCTTGAGCAAGCATCTGTCTATTGTACGCTACATCCGTGCTACCCATGGGAGACAGACGCCTCAGAGAGCCACCATTCAATTCAGTTGGGGATTGAAGACGTCCAGAAGAAAATTATAGTGGGGAGCAGAAGAAAATTATAGTAGGGAGCAGGAGGCCTAATTCACCCTAAAATTATATTCTAAAGGCTTCCAAGAGTTAAACTCTGGTCCATTTGACTCCCATAAAGTTTCCTGTAGAAGCAGCTTTTAAGGGCTGATGTGGTGTGGCCAACAACACTTATTCAGCCCATACATGCAAGGCAAACCACAGAGACCTGGAGTTGGAGAACCAGAGAAAATCCCTGCTTCCTCCCCTCACTGCGTGGCTTCAGGAAAGTTACTTAATCTAGGTCCTAGGCTGTCTCACTTGTGAAATGGAAATACTTGCAAATCCAAAAAAGACCCTCCTCTGGGAAAATAAACTATGAGATGCAAAGTGTTGCAAAGCCTCATTCCAACCCCCAGCAGTGAGCCTGGCAGAGGGAAGAACATTCACGGGTGGAACATGCACCACCCAATCTCTGCGCCCTCAAAGCACGTGGCTGGGCTCACCCCCCTTCCCTACCTCAACTCTGCGCTCCAAAATAAGCTCCCTTACCACTTGGCCTGCAATGGTTTAAGTCAGCTAGGGGTCAGGAGGAAAGCATCAGATTAAACTAATTTCCAGTTACCTGCATATTAAAAAGAAACTAACACAACAGGTGGATGTTTAGGCAATGCCACACACGGACATGGGAGTTCTTACGGGGGTGTCTGTCTCCCCCCAGCCTTGGCTCTCCCAGGCTACACCTGCTTTCCAAGAAGCGTACCTCGTTCCCTCCACTTCTGGGCCAGGGACGCACTGACAGCTGGTAGGGGGCTCACAAGCACAAACGAGCGGTGTGGATGCTGGCGTGGCTCAAGCCTTCTCAAAGGCTTAAACGCTTGTGACGCCCATCTTTCGCAGAATGACGCACCAACTCCTGCGGTTTCTAGGAACACGGCAGGGTGGAAATAAATACTGGAGAAAGCATGAAATACTCCTTCACCAGGGTCCTGCCCACCTCACCCACCCATCTCCTACAACTCAACACCCGAGCTGCAGAGTCCAACTTGCCGTTCCGAGAGCCACACTATGTTCTCCTGCCTCCGTTATCTTCATCATCCTGTTTCCTCTATGTGGGAATCCTCCGGACCCCCAGGCCTGGCACACGTTTGAGGAAAGAAATAAATGATACAGGAAGATTGCCAGGTGGCATCATAGGGACAAGGACTGCTTCATCTGTGGGGTACCACTGCTGGGGAGAGCCAGAGCTGAGACCCTGGATGGAGCAGGGTACCAGGGGTTCCCACGAGGCCATGCAGCCTGAGATCAGGCTGGACAGGTCTTCCTGTTCTGGCTTCTGACCCGGAAGAAAGAAGTCGTGATGAGGTTTCCCAAGTCTCTGACCTTTGCCCTGCCCTGGTCTTCTGAAAATCTAGGTCTCCTTCTGGACTCCCAGTGCCTCTCTGGCACCTCCTACAGGCTGAGTCGTTCTCTCCAGGTGCACCAAGCCCAGACCTTCTGGCCCCTTCGCTCCCTGTCTCTCCTTTGATTGTCTGCTTTTCACTGTGCTAGATGCAACTGGGCCGCACAGTAGGAGCTAAATGAATGTATCTGGAACAAATGAAGCTTTCCCTGGCTACTAGCACCCACATGGTTATGCTCTTTTTCAGAATTGCTAGAACTCTTGCGAGCAAAGTCCTGCATAAGCAACCAGGCCCCCATGAGACACTCAGTCCCTAAACCAACGAATTGCCAGAGGGGCCTGGGCTGGCTCCAGATGCATGTCCCCGGCACCCATCCCAGACCCCCCCAGTCCTCATCTTTGAAGGGAACCTCAGCAGTGTGTGGTGCAGCAGGGCCCACGGCGGAATGCAGGGCCCGGCCAGGGAGTGCCCACCCAGGAACAGTAAGGAAAGCTCAAGAGAGCACCCTGGCACAAACATGGGGACCATCATGCCAGTCCTCCAGGATCAAGTCACAGGACGAACAGAAACAGACACAAACACTAAAACCCCAGGTGTGCCTAAGGGCTGAGGGCTGTGGGATGCCAGGGCGTATGCCGTTTTGTTTTGTTTTGTTTTTGTTTTTTTTTGAGACGGAGTCTTGCTCTGTTGCCCAGGCTGGAGTGCAGTGGTGCGATCTCAGCTCACTGCAAGCTCTGCCTCCCAGATTCACACCATTCTCCTGCCTCAGCCTCCCGAGTAGCTGGGACTACAGGTGCCCGCCACCACGCCCGGCTAATTTTTCGTATTTTTAGTAGAGACGGGGGTTTCACCATGTTAACCAGGATGGTCTCGATCTCCTGACCTCGTGATCCGCCCGCCTTGGTCTCCCAAAATGTTGGGATTACAGGCGTGAGCCACTGTACCCGGCCACATGCACCGTCTTACTCTCCCTCTGAGCTGCCACCCAACTGCAGTCACAGCTGTGGCCCCTTCTCTGTCTAGCTGAGGCTTGACCCAAACAAGAAACCCCCACATCTCTTTACCTTAGTCCCTTTAGGATGTCACCAAGCCCACAGCCCAGGGCAGGCAATCTGTGAACTGAATGAAAGTGAGTGGGGTAAGGGTGACAGTGAGAACGCTCTGCTGGCCAGGCCAGGCCGGCTGGAATGCTCGAAGTAACTGTTTAAAAAAAAAAAAAAAAAAAAAAAAAGCCCTAGTGGGAAAACGATGGAGAAACCTGAGTAAGTCACCCAGCTGACAAAGCCCAGCTCCGGCACACATAATAGTAGCCATATGGCACACACACCTAATAGTCAGGTCCACTTCCACTTCCAGGCGGGAGCCCCCCCCCCCCATCTGGGAACTGCCAGCAGGGATCCCAGGCCCTCCCCAAGCCCCTGCTCCTCCCCTGTGCCGGGCCCTCACCTGCACACAACGACTGGGACCAGCAGGTCCTGGAAAGATCCCGGGCTCCTTTGGGGCTCCTGGCTAGCTTGGTACAACATCCTGCGCTCCACGTGCCCAGTGTCCCCATTTGGACTGAGGCCCTCGTTCTCCTGCATCCCTCTTTCTAGGACTCAGCCAGGAAACCCAAGCTGTCAGGGAGCGCTCACTGCAGGTGAGTGCCAAGCCGGAAGCGGGCTCCTGTTGAAGGCCTATACTCTCCCTGGCTGTATCCGCTTGGCTCCCTCCCTTCTCTGAGCCTCAGTTTCCCCACTAGTGAGGTGAAGGTGGCTCAGAGGCTCTGCACATAGTGAGCCCTCCAGCTCTCCCTCCCAGCTGAAGGCTGTACTTCTTCCACTCCCTAAGGCCAAGTAATGGGCAGGTTTTCTCTTTCCTTGGCCTCTGGTGGGAAAGGAACTTTTCAAAATGGTCTCCCTCTCCTCAAATCCTGTCCTGAAACACAGGAAAGCCAAACATCCCCTGCTTCCTCCTGTCCTGGACACGGGGTCAGAAGTGACTGTGAGTGGCAGAGACTACAGGAGGCCCAAGTGCCCACTGCACTTCCTCAGAGCCAGATGGATCCTGACCGCAGGTCCCACGTCACCTTCAGAGCTGGGACAAACAAACCCTTCACCGAAGTCTAAACAGAGTGAGGGAGGCTTTGTTATACACTCGGAACTGCCGCCCCTTTCCACCGAGAGGCTTAGCCCCAGGAAACACAGGACCCGGCTCCCAGCTGACACTGTGTTTATGTAACAGCCTAGGTCTGTTCCGCCCTGGGGCTGGGGGTGGAGGGCTGGGTCTCAGTCCAGCCTCAGACTGTGCTCGGAAACGCCCAGGGAGTCTGCGCCTCTCCCTCCTCGCAGAAAGAAGGTGGGGACACCGCTTCGCAGGACAGAAGCAATATGGTTTGGCAGATGGAGAGGAGTTCTATCGCAGGAAGGATATAGGGCAGAAACTGGAGAAGGAGTGGTTTTTTTTTTCTTTTGAAGACTGCCTACAGCAGAAAAGTGGGAACGCAAGACGGGTGAGGTGGATAAAGATGACGGTGCCAGGAGAGGCTGGGCAGGGGGGAGGGAGGGACAGCAGGGCAGCAGGGCAGCAGGGCCCAGGAGTGGGAACAGCAGGGCTGAGAACGGATGTGTGAGCCGCGGCTGGGTCGGTCTGGTGACAGTGAGACACCGGCTCCCGGGATTTCACGAGGGTGAGGCCGAGCTTCCAGGCCTAGTAGACGGAACCATGGGGTATTTCCAAACCGCAATGGAGAAGTCGGTCAGGGGAGGGCTCTAGGAGGGGAAATTCTGCCTGTTGTGTTAAATTTAAGATCAGGCAAAAAAAACTCAAGGGCGCCCCAGGAATCAGCCTTCACATCACAAAAGATGCTCAACCAGAGGCTCCCCTGAGCTGGGGAGGAGGGGTCGCTGCTCATCAAGCTGGAGCCAGGGGAGCCCGGAAACCTCTCCCTGCTCTGGGAAAAGCTCGGAAGCAGATGTGCCCCCACCCTCCTGTGGCCGGCCCACGAGGCTTGTCGCCCTCCAGAAGGAGCTGGGGGAAGGTAAGCTTGGAGCAAATCAGGAATGTCTTTACTTCCTCCAAGGACAGTGAAGCTGCAGCAACGATGTCTCTCCCGCCTCCACCCTCTTCAGATCTAAGAGGAAAAATTGGTCATCTCCTGTCTTTGGGGCCCAGGGCTCGCACAAATGCCATCTCCTAGTCCCCAGCCACAGCGGTGATTCAGGCCATTTACTCAGATCCACGTTAATGAGTTTTTTCTGTCACCTAATTAGTTCACAGAGAACTCAGCCTTGAGAGGAAAGAAATAAGAACGGGTTGGGAAAAGGCAGAAGGAAGTCAGACTGGCATGTCACAACAAAAGATAGAACCCAGCACCACATGGGGTCCCCCCAGACCCAGTACTTCTTCCCCGGCTATGGGGACCTCTGAAAGCAGAAAGGGAGGTGTTCAGGTGCACTATCCCCCAGAACCTCAGGCAAGCAGATGAAGCTGGGAGTGGGGCCCTAACCTTAAGGCCCAAGTCAGGGACAGGCCCCTGCCCATAACTCCATGTTATCGCAAAAGGCCTTGGCTCTCACTGCATTTCCACTGAGGCCAAACCCACCACCTGCCGGTGGGCGTCCCCTTTCAAACAGAGCTGGGGGAGGAAGCAGATGGCCCAGGGTGAGGCCCATCTGTCCGTGCCCGCTCGAAGGTCACCATGCCACCGGGGTGCCTGCGGGTGCCTCCAGCACCCACCACACCAGGGCTTGCGAGGCATCTGCCAGCAGCGTGCCACCACTTCCTGTGCCCTCAGCGGTCGAAAGTCCAGGGCCTAAGGGCCCAGAGAAAAAAGCGCTAGGCAGCGCAGTGGCCGGGGGTTTCCGGTCCCCGACTCCGGGTGCGGTGTCCCTGGCGGTCGGTCAGCACCCGGCTGCCCAGCAGCTGCCTCCAGACCGAGGAGCCGCGGATCCCCGTCAGGCTCATGACCCGGCCAAAGCGCGGATGGACCTGCCGGCGCCTCCCACGCGGTCGCTGAGCCTCAGCCCAGCGCCAGGCCCGGCCCGCTCCCGCTTGGCCGCCGCGGCGTAGGGGGTGTGCGTCGGGAGAGGGCGCCGCGGCGAGCGCCACCCTCCGGGCCTGCGGGCGCTGGGCCCGGGAAGGCTGCCATCCACTAACGCGAGGCTCCGATCCCCCGCCCCACTGCGGAGCAGGGCCCGGGCAGCGGCTAAGAAGCCTCCCCGGTCACGACCCCACCTCCCCGCAGCTGAAGCCCTCTGCCGCGCCCACCTTCCCCGGCCAGGCCTGGACAGATCTGGTCCCGGCCCCCCCAAGCGACACCACCTTCGCGCCCTGGAACACAGTCAGCAGAAAACCCCCAACCCCAAAGTGTCCCCGAACGAGATATGGCGAAGCTGCCCGCCGGTTCTGCAACACAGATCGGCAAACCTCGTGGCCTGGTCCTCAAGCGCGCAAGGACCCCCGACAGGGAGAGCATGGCCAGGCACGGCCTGTGGAGCCCTCGGCCGGCGCCGGAGAGGCCACTGCGCCCCGGCTCCCGCAGCCCCCGGCTCCGCTCACCCTCGATGGAGATGACGTGCTCCCGGATCTGGTTCTGCAGCGCCAAATCCTCGATGCGCTCGATCAGGTCGTAGATGGCGTAGATATTGGGATGCACGGACTCGAAGCGCTGGATCTCGGCCCGGATGGCCGCGGAGTTGGAGAGCGCGAACTGCTGGGGGGGCCCGCCGGCCAGCTGCTGCGAGGGGCCGCCGCCGCCCCCGGCCCCGGGCCCCGCGCCGCCGAACTGCCCGCCGCAGACGAGCTGCTGCGCGGCAGCGCCGCCGCCCCCCGGAGCCGCCAGGCTCTGCTGCTGCTGCGGGCTCTGCCCCCCGCCCGCCTGGAAGTTCATGGCTTCGGAGCCGTGGGGCCCGAGGCGGGCCCGGGGCGGCGCGGCGGAGGCGGCGGCGGCGGCGGCGGCGGCAGCGGCGAGCGGGAGCGCGGGGCTGGCGGGGCCGGGACTACTGGGCTGGCGGCGCGGGGCTAGCGCATGGAGCCGGGGGCCGGGGGCCGGAGGCCGAGGCCAGGAGGCGCCGCCGCGCACGCTGTGGCCGCCGCTGCCGAGCGCTTCCCAGCGCCGTGATCCCGCTGCCTCGGAGCAGCCTCCAGCGGCAACAACAACGGGACCGGGAGCGCGCGGCCCAGGCCCTCCCCCCGCGTCATGCGCACGCACCGCCGCCCCCGCCGGCTCCGGCACACGCAGCCCGAGCCCCCCTCCCCGCCGCCCCCGCCCCTCCTGCGCGCCGGCCCGGGCGCCCCCGCCCCTCGCTCGCTCGCTGGCTCTGCAGCCTCCACCCCCGAGCCGCGCGCTCCAGCCCTGGCGCCCCGGCCCCTCCCACTCAGCCTCGGCCCTTCCGCCTCCTCACCAGCCCCCACCCGCATTGCCTCGAGGGCCACCCTCGCGGAGGGGACAGCTGCCCTGGTCTCCTCCCGCGCCCGGCTGTCGCTTTCGCCTCCCTGCGCTGATCTGGGCGGGGTGTCGGATCTCTAGGCAATGCCCAAACAGTGCCCTGCGCCTGAGGGTGCTGCTGACCGAGGCTGATTGGCCGAGGAGTCCGCCCAGGCCCAGCTGCTCCTCGCTTACAGCGTCCCGCCTTCAGTGCGGCATAGGCTCCCCTGTCCCCAGGCTCCGAGGTCAGCCCTAGAGACCACCCTGCTGCCGGAGTTTTCTCCCTGTCTCCCTGCCCAGGCTCTCCACTGCCGGCTGCAGCAGTGCTCTCCTAAAAGACCCTCCCCCTGCCGGACTTGGGAGATTAGCTAAATGCTACCCGACCCCATTGGTACATAGAGGAAGAAGAGGGAGGGATGAAATAGTATATGCCTTTCTCCCCTACTCATCCCATTGGAGAGACCAACCAAAGCCCACGTGGCTCTCAATTTTTCTTGTCCTCACCCCTTGTCCATCCTGTCCTTTCACTCCCTCTAGGGCCAGGGAGCTCCCTGAAATGTCCCAGTTCCTCTGCAGTCCCATTGCCAAAGTGGGCTGCAGTTCTGTTAGCCCCCTCCCCCCCACCAACACACACACGTTTCCTAAAACCTACAAGAGGTGACATTTGCAGAGGCCGCAGCCAATAAATCTGCCAGAGATGTTGCAGGGTATCTGCTACCCCCAGATATCCTAGGGCATCAGTGACACACATCGTCCTTCTTACGCACACTTCCACTTCCCTGGCCAAGCTGGATCTTTTCCCAGCATGAAGCTGTCCACTGTTTGATTACCCACACAACTCAGCCCCAGAACCAACCCAGTCACTATTCCCGAGTTCCTTGTACCTTCCAAAGCACCTGGTGCAAGCTAATCAACACACAGGGTCTCCTAAGCTCCTGAGGAACCTGTGTTTCTATCTCCCTGCATAAGCTTAAGGATATCTTGTGCCCTCTCTGGGTTTCATCTGCGAAATATAGTGGTTGAACATAAAACCTAGTTCTGATGTTGTATAATTCTAAAAGTAACATCCAACATCTCTTTTAGGTGCTTAATTAGAATTGACAGCAGGAAGTAGCACCAGGTATACCTCCCAAGAGAGACACTAAGAGCAAAGAGCTCCTCAAATGTGTTGCCCCAGCAACTAGCACACACGTGTTATAGCACTGTTGGGCTGTTCACACGTCTAGCTCTTCTACTAGTATATGGAGCCACATGAGGGCAGGAAGAGGGTCTGATTCACCATTTTATTCCCAGTATCTTGCACAATGCCTGGGATATAGTGTGTGTGTGTGTGTGTGTGTGTGTGTGTGTGTGTGTGTGTGTAATTTTTTTTGAGACGGAGTCTCACTCTGTCACCCAGGCTGGAGTGCAGTGACTCGATCTCAGCTCACTGCAACCTCCACCTCCCGCATTCAAATGATTCTCCTGCCTCAGCCTCCCGAGTAGCTGGGATTACAGGCGCCCGCCACCACGCCCAGCTAATTTTTGTATTTTTTTTTGTAGAGACAGGGTTTTACCATGTTGGCCAGGCTGGTCTCGAACTCAGTGATCCGCCTGCCTTGGCTCCCAAAGTGCCAGGATTACAGGCGTGAGCCACTGCGCCTGGCCATAGTACATCTTTTAAAAAATATGTTAGTAGAATAAATGAATGAACAGGAGGGATGGAACTAGAGGTAGGTTAGTTCTGTATGGTATCAATCTAGACTGACATTCCTAAGGCAATATTTGGGCCACTTGCTCCCACAGTAGGCAAGAACCATGGGAAGACTAGGATAGATTATTTTAAATCAAGACTGGCCTGTAAAAACCAGGATGTGAGATCTCTGTGGCTACAGGAGCCCAGAGGGAAAAATCCAGATATCCACAGGCCTGGGATTCAATGCCATCCACACAGTAACACACCAAAGACCCGACTCCTGAGACCAGGTTTGGGTGGAGGTGAGCGAATAGCTACTGTGTGACATGTACCTTAGTTTTTACACTTTTTAATAAAACATCTAATTTCTTCCTTATGATTGACTTACGAGGTGTGTTTTAGAGAGGAAGAAATTAATGTTCAGAGAGATTCAATAACCCACCCAAGGTCATATAGCTGAGAAGCACAAGATAAGGGATCAGGATTTCTGCCAGGTTCCAAGGTCTATGCTTCTTCCACAGCCCTGAAGGGGCTGTGGAGTCCCGAAGGTGGAGGAGGGGACCAAGGAAAGGGGCAGCCCTGAGGATGGGTATCCCTAGCCAGCCTGGTGGGGCAGCCCATGGATATTGGGCTCTGGGCTGAAGAATTAATTTTGGTGGCCAAAGTGCCTTCTGGCGTCCACTCTGACATAACAGTAGGGGCCACCTGAGTTCCTCAGAGCCTTCCACACTGCATCACGAACACGGGTACTCTGACGTGCTCCAGCTGACGTCGGTGTCTGGTGTGATAGATGCCCTGGCTGTTGGCAGGGGAGGGGGCGGACGCTGCTGCCGCCCAAACCTCTAGGGGGTAGCACAACCCCCAAAACCGCCCCCGCCAGCCCCTTCGCGATCTGCAGGCGCAGAGAACCGCGGGTGGAGCCCCACACGTGGGTCCGCAGGGCGGAGGGCGGGGACAGCGCGGCGCCGGACTACAAGTTCCACAATGCCCCGGGCCGCGGCGGCGGGGAAGGAGGGGTGCTTCAGGTGCCTGCGACCTCCGCGCCTCCCGCCCGGAAGTGCCCGAGGGGCCGCGATGGAGCTGGGGGAGCCGGGCGGTGAGTCCCCGCGCCGTGACCGCGCCCACCCCGCCGCCCAGGGCCCCGGTCGGGCCGGGATCGCCGTGCCCTCCTGCGGCTTCGGGGGGCGGGAAGGTGGGAGGGGTGATGAGAGGTGGGGGTGGGGAACGTGAAGTCTCGGATTCCGGGCGGGATCTGGGGTCAGGCAGCCCGGGGGGCTTGGAGAGACTTCCAGAGGAGGCGCGGAGTTAGTCCTCCGCGGAGTGGGGTTGAGGGGACCTGGAGGGGGCCGAGCTGGGTGGGTGGTGACGCTCGGTGGCTCCAGATTGCCCAGGGGCGGAGTTTGACGTTTGCTGTGGGGGAAGCCTGGGAAGCAGTCCTGTGCCGCGGGTGGGGTTTAGGTGAACCGTAACGCGGGGGGCGGGGGTGGGGGCACAGAGGCTCTACCCCCACCTCTTAGAAACTTTAGCAGCGGAGTAGATGAGCCTGGGGTGAAGTCGGTGAAGGAGTAGACACACTGGGGTGAAGTGGGCAGGAGAATAGATACGCTTGGGGGTGAAGTTTGGTTGGGGTGAAGTTTAGGAGAGGCGTTGCTTAGGCCCTTACCTTGGGATAGGGTTTGGGTGAGTTGGGAGCTGGTTGAAGACCTCGAGCTCAGATGACAGAAAGTTAGGACTTGGGATTCGGCGATGGGAAGGGGCACCCGGAGGCAAGTTTGGGGCGACTGGGAGGCAGAGAAGCCGGTACCCTGGGGTGGGTGAGGGGACGGAGGCTGAGGACGGTGGGAGCGTCGCGGTGGGGTGAGGGCAGGACCCTGTGGAGGTTCCAGGGCTCCTGGCCAGGGGGCCCGGGCCTCACGGGCTCTTTGTGCCTCTCCAGCTCGGTAGCGCGGCGGGCAAGGCAGGCGCCATGACCCTGATTGAAGGGGTGGGTGATGAGGTGACCGTCCTTTTCTCGGTGCTTGCCTGCCTTCTGGTGCTGGCCCTTGCCTGGGTCTCAACGCACACCGCTGAGGGCGGGGACCCACTGCCCCAGCCGTCAGGGACCCCAACGCCATCCCAGCCCAGCGCAGCCATGGCAGCTACCGACAGCATGAGAGGGGAGGCCCCAGGGGCAGAGACCCCCAGCCTGAGACACAGAGGTCAAGCTGCACAGCCAGAGCCCAGCACGGGGTTCACAGCAACACCGCCAGCCCCGGACTCCCCGCAGGAGCCCCTCGTGCTACGGCTGAAATTCCTCAATGATTCAGAGCAGGTGGCCAGGGCCTGGCCCCACGACACCATTGGCTCCTTGAAAAGGTAAGTAGGTCAAGAGGCAGGAGCAATGCTAAAGACAGGGGTTGGGAGAGTGGTCGCAGAAGGCCCCCAGAGACACCTAAGACCCAGCCCTCCTTTATACTGGAGGCGCTGAGCGCCCCAGATCACAACTGTACTTGTTCCCCTGGCAGACGGCCCCTCCCAGGCCAGGGCCGGTGTGTTGTGGAGGGCAGGGGGAGGGTGGGAGTGCTGTTCCGGGGCCAGGGACTAGGATTGCCTGAGGCCTGCTCTCTTACCCAGGTCCCTCTCTCCTCAGGACCCAGTTTCCCGGCCGGGAACAGCAGGTGCGACTCATCTACCAAGGGCAGCTGCTAGGCGACGACACCCAGACCCTGGGCAGCCTTCACCTCCCTCCCAACTGCGTTCTCCACTGCCACGTGTCCACGAGAGTCGGTCCCCCAAATCCCCCCTGCCCGCCGGGGTCCGAGCCCGGCCCCTCCGGGCTGGAAATCGGCAGCCTGCTGCTGCCCCTGCTGCTCCTGCTGTTGCTGCTGCTCTGGTACTGCCAGATCCAGTACCGGCCCTTCTTTCCCCTGACCGCCACTCTGGGCCTGGCCGGCTTCACCCTGCTCCTCAGTCTCCTGGCCTTTGCCATGTACCGCCCGTAGTGCCTCCGCGGGCGCTTGGCAGCGTCGCCGGCCCCTCCGGACCTTGCTCCCCGCGCCGCGGCGGGAGCTGCTGCCTGCCCAGGCCCGCCTCTCCGGCCTGCCTCTTCCCGCCGCCCTGGAGCCCAGCCCTGCGCCGCAGAGGACTCCCGGGACTGGCGGAGGCCCCGCCCTGCGACCGCCGGGGCTCGGGGCCACCTCCCGGGGCTGCTGACCCTCAGCCCGCACTGGGAGTGGGCTCCTCGGGGTCGGGCATCTGCTGTCGCTGCCTCGGCCCCGGGCAGAGCCGGGCCGCCCCGGGGGCCCGTCTTAGTGTTCTGCCGGAGGACCCAGCCGCCTCCAATCCCTGACAGCTCCTTGGGCTGAGTTGGGGACGCCAGGTCGGTGGGAGGCTGGTGAAGGGGAGCGGGGAGGGGCAGAGGAGTTCCCCGGAACCCGTGCAGATTAAAGTAACTGTGAAGTTTTCACTCTTGCAGTGTGTCTGAGTGTGTGCGGGCTGGCGGGCGGGGAGTCCTCGCCCCTTGGGAGAGAAGGGCACGGACTGCGCCTGGGGTCTGGCCCTCCGCCTTCCCTTCTCCCCAGCGTTCTGCTCTGGCTTTGGCGCCGGCCTCCGTGGCCCCGCCCTCGGCGCCGGGCGCGCACTTCCCGCGGGCGGGGCTCGCGGCTCCCTGGCTCGCAGTGCCTGCCGGGAGCCACGTCTCCGAAGACCGATAGCTGCTTCGGGATTGGCGTCCGGGCGGCTATCTAGGGGCTGCTGGGAAGATGGCGGACTCGGTGGCTAGCCGATGAGGAGGCCGCGGGGGGAACCCGGCCCCCGGGCCCCGAGACCGACTGAGGGAGCGACCTGCGCAGGGCCCGGGGAGTCATGTAGGGGTGGCGCCTGCGGGGAGGGCTGCGGGAGGGCAGCGGGAGCTGGTGTTAGCGGCAGCGGCCACGGTCTCCTGGCGTCCCTGGGCCGGGGTGGGTGTTGGGGCCCCCGACTTCGCCGACTCCGCGCCATCGCAAAGCGGTGCACTCGGGCTCCACGCGCGCCCTGCGAGGTGGGCGCTGCGTTTTCATTTCACGGGTGAGGAGACTTAGAGAGACGAAGCCACTTGTCCAAGGTCACGCCGCTGGTGAGTGGGAGCGCCCAGCATGGAACCCAGCACCGTCCAGCCGCGGAGCCCGCGTTCCACCCTCTGTGCCGCCGCCGCCTCCTGTGGGAGAGGGAGGTGGTCGGGAGAGTGCACGCCGGTGCCGCCTGGGCTCCAGACTGGGCGCGACCACTAACCCGGTTAATGACCTCGGGCTTAACTTAACCCCTTCGCTGCTCTGGGCCTGCGTTTCTCCACCGGTGAAATGAGGTAATGCCAGCCCTGCCTACTCTTCATGGGCGTGTAAGGAGCATCAGAGATGGTGCATGTGGAATTGCTTTGCAAGTAGTGCTGCGCTGAGCGCACTGAGGATTATGATTGCTGTTTCAAAGGCGTGGAAGGAGGCAGAGGGGCGGGGTGGGGAAGAGGCCCAGAGCAGTCACAAAGGCTTGCTCTGACCACAGGCCCCCTAAATGAGGAGTGAGGTAAGCAGTAGGTAGCAGGTCTTTCTCCCCTTTGGAGAAAACCTCACCCCCTTTTTTGGGCTGCCCCTCAGGGTCTCCATCACCCAACTCCATGCTTCGAGTCCTGCTCTCTGCTCAGACCTCCCCTGCTCGGCTGTCTGGCCTGCTGCTGATCCCTCCAGTACAGCCCTGCTGTTTGGGGCCCAGCAAATGGGGGGACCGGCCTGTTGGAGGAGGCCCCAGTGCAGGTCCTGTGCAAGGACTGCAGCGGCTTCTGGAACAGGCGAAGAGCCCTGGGGAGCTGCTGCGCTGGCTGGGCCAGAACCCCAGCAAGGTGCGCGCCCACCACTACTCGGTGGCGCTTCGTCGTCTGGGCCAGCTCTTGGGGTCTCGGCCACGGCCCCCTCCTGTGGAGCAGGTCACACTGCAGGACTTGAGTCAGCTCATCATCCGAAACTGCCCCTCCTTTGACATTCACACCATCCACGTGTGTCTGCACCTTGCAGTCTTACTTGGTGAGGAGGGGCTTGAGGTGGGCGCCTGGGGGGCTAGGTGTTAATGAAGAATAGGGAGAACAGTAGAGGACCACGGACAGAGACCCAGCCTCTCAGGCGTTTGCCCAGGAACGCTTGCTCCTGCTCCCGTCCTATGTCTGCGGCAGACATCATGAGTCGAACGCACTCCTTCCGGCCTCGCTAGGGTGCCACCCCAGATTCCTGCTAATAGAGTGCCCTAGGAAGCCACCATAATTTGTCACAATTGGTATGAGATGAAAGCCTATTTGCCATCTTTGTATGTACTCCCTACAAACCGTTTCGATACCTCATAGCCACATGATACTTTACATGTCTCTAGTGTTTGCACTTAAACTCTAGCACACCTTCCCGCTCAGGAAACGGGAGAGGAGAAAGGTGGAGAATTCACCAAGTAACCCCATGATAAGAACAGCAGCACAGCTCTGTTACCAGGCTGCCTTTTACCTCTCCCCCTCAGGCTTTCCATCTGATGGTCCCCTGGTGTGTGCCCTGGAACAGGAGCGAAGGCTCCGCCTCCCTCCGAAGCCACCTCCCCCTTTGCAGCCCCTTCTCCGAGGTGGGCAAGGGTTGGAAGCTGCTCTAAGCTGCCCCCGTTTTCTGCGGTATCCACGGCAGCATCTGATCAGCAGCCTGGCAGGTGCTGGAGGGGGTTAAAATCAGATGGGGGTGGGGAGGGCTGACAGGAGGAGGAAGGTGGGCTCAGTTGGCTGGGCTGAGGTGGAATTGAGCCAGCCGGAGGTCCGGCTGAGGCCCAGCGTGACAGGCTGCTCTTCACAGAGGCAAGGCCAGAGGAACTGACTCCCCACGTGATGGTGCTCCTGGCCCAGCACCTGGCCCGGCACCGGTTGCGGGAGCCCCAGCTTCTGGAAGCCATTGCCCACTTCCTGGTGGTTCAGGAAACGCAACTCAGCAGCAAGGTGGGCTTGCCACCCACCCTCCAGTGCATCTCTGTCATTCTCAGGGACCTTGTCAGGCCCAGCGCCTCGTGCAGCTCGGCTATCCTTTTCCTGAAGCAGACACACCCTCTCTGTCCCCTGGGACCTGCATCTTTTCTACACCCTTTCTGTGGCTTGCCCACCTCCTGTCAGCAGCATGCATTCCTGGAAATCTGCAGTTTCCCAAAGCACTCTTAGCAGCATCCTAGCTCCACCCATCCCTCTCGAAGTCTTCAGGGCCAGACCCCACAGCGATGTCCCCTCTGCCTGTCTGGTGATTAGTCACGTGCAGCTCGTGACTGCTTTGCTGTTGAACTGTGAGGCCGGAGGGACTGTCCTGTCTTTACAGCAGTGTTGTAAACCTGAGGGCTAAGCCTCTCTAAGGCTTAGCTTGTAAAAGATGACTGCAGAAATACTTGACACTGGGTAATGAACTGCTCTTCCTCCACAGGTGGTACAGAAGTTGGTCCTGCCCTTTGGGCGACTGAACTACCTGCCCCTGGAACAGCAGTTTATGCCCTGCCTTGAGAGGATCCTGGCTCGGGAAGCAGGGGTGGCACCCCTGGCTACAGTCAACATCTTGATGTCACTGTGCCAACTGCGGTGCCTGCCCTTCAGAGCCCTGCACTTTGTTTTTTCCCCTGGCTTCATCAACTACATCAGTGGTACGCAGCCAGGATGGCTGGCTGGGCCCCTGAGGGCTGGAGAGGCAGGGGAGCAGGGTGGCCTGCAGCCCAGAGCCCCAGTCCCCGCCTCCCCACAGGCACCCCTCATGCTCTGATTGTGCGTCGCTACCTCTCCCTGCTGGACACGGCCGTGGAGCTGGAGCTCCCAGGATACCGGGGTCCCCGCCTTCCCCGAAGGCAGCAAGTGCCCATCTTTCCCCAGCCTCTCATCACCGACCGTGCCCGCTGCAAGTACAGGTGGATGGGGCAGCCTGGGGCAAGGGGAGGGGCCAGCCTGGGACCAGCAGAGTGGAAAAGCCAGAGGGACCATGAAGCGCCAAAGCTAAGGAGCTCTCGGCCACCATAAAACTGGGCCCTGAAGCAGCAGAGGGCTTTGCCCAGGGTGGTGGCACTAGACTGGGACAGATTAGGATGAGGTGCCGGGCCCTTCCTGCTACTGGTGTCCTTTCTCCTCAGTCACAAGGACATAGTAGCTGAGGGGTTGCGCCAGCTGCTGGGGGAGGAGAAATACCGCCAGGACCTGACTGTGCCTCCAGGCTACTGCACAGGTGAGCAAGGGGCAGGCGGCAGGCCCGGGGAGACGGAGCCCTGGCTAAGGCCGCCGGCCCTGCTCCCCTCCAGACTTCCTGCTGTGCGCCAGCAGCTCTGGTGCTGTGCTTCCCGTGAGGACCCAGGACCCCTTCCTGCCATACCCACCAAGGTCCTGCCCACAGGGCCAGGCTGCCTCTAGCGCCACTACTCGAGACCCTGCCCAGAGGTAAAGGAGGCAGGGTGGGGGAGCCCTGGCCACCTTGCCCGCCATGCCCTGAGCCACGTCCCTCCCCCTGCAGGGTGGTGCTGGTGTTGCGGGAACGCTGGCATTTCTGCCGGGACGGCCGGGTGCTGCTGGGCTCGAGGGCCCTGAGGGAGCGGCACCTAGGCCTGATGGGCTACCAGCTCCTGCCGGTGAGTGGCCCTGGCCTGGCCCGTGGCGCATCCTCACTCCCAGCCTGCGGGTAACCTGCCGCCCTCTCCTCTCCCCACAGCTACCCTTCGAGGAACTGGAGTCCCAGAGAGGCCTGCCCCAGCTCAAGAGCTACCTGAGGCAGAAGCTCCAGGCCCTGGGCCTGCGCTGGGGGCCTGAAGGGGGCTGAGGGGTTGATGTGGGGTTCAGGATGGCCCCCCCATGGGGGGTGGATGATTTGCACTTTGGTTCCCTGTGTTTTGATTTCTCATTAAAGTTCCTTTCCTTCCCCGTTGTGAATCTCAGTTTTGGGACGGGGAGCAGAGCTGAGTCCCCCGCCTCTTCCATTCATGCCCCGCCCCCCATACAAAGACAAAAGGCCACAGATAGGTGGGGGCCAAAGCACTTTACTGCAGGGGCAGTGGGGGAGGAGAAGACTTTAAATTATTCACTTAAATAAAAAGGAGGGAGGGGCATGGGAGGGGGAACCCCATCCCACCAGCCTGTCCCCTCGTCCATCGGTCCCTCGGCTGTCCCTCGGTGGCGGCTACACAGGCATGGGCATCTCATTGTACTCGTCCACACCCTCCCGCTCATCAAACACCGGCTCTGCCTCGTTAGCATCCAGCTGTGTGTGGGGAGGTGGCGGTCAAGAAGGGAAGTGGGGGGGCCTTTCCAGATCCACAGGGAGGCAAGAGGAACCGGGGGAGGCAGACGGGAGGGCTTACACATTTCATCTCTCGGTCGGTGAAGATACGGGTGAGCACCACCATGCGGAGCGGCACTGTGAGGATGAGGATGAAGGGGAAGGCCAGGGAGGCAGCTGTGGACATGACGGCCCAGAGCAGGGCCAGGCAGAGCAGCTGCAGGGCCGTGAACAGGTGCATACGGAGGGTCCGGACCTGGGGGGCGGAGACAGGTGAGCCCAGCTTCCTCCCTAGCCTGCTGCTGGGAAGAGCCTCTCTCTTCTTCGGAGGCGGGGATGGAAGAACATTCCTAGGTGCCAGAGCTGGGTTGGTACAGAGAGGAGGTGGGGGCTGGCTGAACTGGGCAGATGGGAGGGGGCAGCTGGAGAGTGACCCAAGTAGACCAGGATGGCCAGAGGCACACCCCTTCCGGTGGGGAGCTGGGGGGCTCACCTTCTTGACGTAAGTGACATCTGGGTGGTGTTTGGGCGGCATGAGCAGCAGATGCAGCCGCTCATAGAACTGGATCCCGTTAAGGGAGGTGACTCCCATGTACAGGAAAATTCCAAAGAGCACGGCCAGGGGGATCTGCCGGAGCAGATCCCCGATAACTATGGAGAGGCCTACGGGAGGCGCAGGAGAAAGAGTTGGCCCCGGGGTCCCCTGGCCCCAGTAGCCCTGGGGAATCCACTGGGAAGGGAAAGGCAAGAGGCAACGTACCCACAAGCAGGGCAACCAGCAGCCCCGTCACCCGCTGCTCCTTGACTTCCTGAATCTTGGGCTTGTCCCCAGGTGCCACAGCCTTGCTCATGACAGTGAGCGCGTTGGCGTGAGTGACAGAGCGGACAGTGGCAGCAGCCAACCAGGGCAGGCCAAAGAGGGCACAGATGCCGCCCATGGCCACGATGAGCAGCAGGTCCAGGTGGAAGCCGGAGCCCTTCTGCAGCATGCGCTCCTTCTTGGAGATGATGAGCCTGAGAGCGGGAGGGGTGCTGCTGAGGCCCAGGCTGGACTCAGCTCCGCAGACCACAGGGTCTTTCCAGAATGCCCAGCCAGTCCCTCCATCTGGCTTTGGAACCTGGCGGTCCCTGTCCATTCCGTCAGGATTCAAATTCCGTTACAGAGCAAAACCTGGGCCCCCAGCCCTTATCGTCCATGACAGCTCCCAGCTAGCACTGCCAGGGTGGCCTGCCCCTCCACGTGCTGTTCCTGTCCCAGCAAACATCGGGGTTTTTCTGCTGTCTACAGAATAAACTGTGGCCATCTGGGCATCCAAGGTTCCCTGAGGTCCCTGGGATTGCCCAGTGTGGCTGGAGGTTCCATGCTGAGTTCCCCAGCCTGGCCTGGGGCTCTGGCCTCTCACACCCCTTTGGCTAGGACCACTCACGTGGTGATCTGTGTCTCCATGAAGATGAGAATGAAGACCAGGATGGCGGGCAGCAGGCTGGCAACCATCATCCACACAGGGAAGGGGCTCTTCTCTCCCAGGGGGTTGATGACCCAGCCCCTCTTTTCTGGGGCAGTCACCGAGAATCCACTGGGAACGCTCAGCTTCTGCAGGGCAGACACAGTGTAGGGACAAGGGTTAAGGTGAATGTGGAGGGCATGCCATGGAAAGGGGATGGCATCTTAAGGACAGGCTTAAGCTTAAGGACAGGCTGGGTTTGGAGGCTGGAGGGGAACACCTAGACCCGGGGTGGCAGAGGCAGCAGCACTTGCCTGCTGTGGGCAGCACCTTACCTGGGTATAGGTGTCCTCAATACTGTAATCCACAAGCACCATGATGAGGATGGCGATGGGCACCCCAAAGTCCCCAATCACCCGCCGGATCTGAGTGGGCAGGCACAGCGCTCAGAGTCCTGCCACCACAGCCGCTGACTTCCTGCCACCCCCCTTCCTGCCCCTAACCCCCTCTTGGCCTTTAAGCCCACGCACCCGGCCAGGAAAGAACCGGCTGTTCTTGAATTTGCGCAGGAAGAAGGCGATGAAGAAGGTGCCGGCCATGAGCACCAGCGACAGCAGGGCCGTGTTGGGCTGGCCCCGGGGCTTCCCCTGCCCAGACTGCCCAGCCAAGCTCCTGTTGCCCGGCCCCAGCGTGGGTCTTGCCCCGGCCCATGTCATGTTCTCACCGCCGTCCACCTCTGAGCTGTTGGAGGCTGAGCAGCCATGCAGGGGGTGCTCCTGGAAGATCTGGGGAGAGGAGGCCACACGGCCTCCATCAGCTGGACTGCAGAAAAGATTCCTGGGGCTCAGTGAGTGTCGGGTGGAAGGGGTGGGGCAGGGGAAAGGCTGGCCTGCTTTCAAGGAGCTTGTCTTGTTGAATTAAGACAATGACCCAGAGAACCAGCTGTGAGCACAGGGCAGTGTGGGGCAGAAAAGACCAAGCGGCTAGTATAAGTCAGGAAGGCAGTGGTGAGTGGCACCAGCCAGGCCCAGAGAGGATCCAGGGGCCTAAAGGAAGAGGACATGAGC
Organism: Homo sapiens; assembly: GCF_000001405.40. NCBI lineage: Eukaryota > Metazoa > Chordata > Mammalia > Primates > Hominidae > Homo > Homo sapiens. Next base: position 151,073,756 of record NC_000007.14, on the reverse strand, counting down.
ACAGAGGACCACTGAGTGGCCTGTCACACACATCTGATGCCCAGACTGACTGTCACCTCTGGAGCCTTTCCCCTTTCTACACTCCTGGATTGTTTGACATTTTAACAAAAGCATGTACCTTTGTTATTAAAAAATGTGAGTTTTAAAACCAAATTAAAAATAATGTATTTTTTAAAAATAAAAAAACAGGCCGGGTACAGTGGTTCACGCCTGTAATCCTAGCACTTTGGGAGGCCGAGGCGGGCAGATCACTTGAGGTCAGGAGTTCGAAACCAGCCTTCCCTGTCTCTGCTAAAAATATAAAAACTAGCTGGGCGTGGTGGGCACCTGTAATTCCAGCTACTCGAGAGGCTGAGGCAGAGGCAGGAGAATCGCTTGAACCTGGGATGCCAAAGTTGCAGTGAGGCGGGCCACTGCACTCCAGCCTAGGCAACAGAGCAAGACTCTGTCTCAAAAAACAAATAAACAAATAAAATAAAATAAAATAAAATAAAATAAAATAAAGATGGACTGGGCCTGGTGGCTCATGCCTATAACCCCAACACTTTGGGAGGTCAAGGCAGGAGGATTGCTTGAGACCAGGAGAGTTCCAGACAAGCCTGGGCAATCTAGGCAGGCCTCTTCAAAAAATTTAAAAATTAGCCAGGCGTGGGGCCCGCCGGCAGTCCCAGCTATTAGGGTGGCTGAGGCAGAAGGATCACTTGAGCTCAGGAGTTTGAACTAACAGTGAGCTCTAATGGCGCCACTGTGCCATTAAATATAGAAGTTTTTAAAAAATAAAAGTATGAGTTTTTGGCTGGGTGCAGTGGCTCACACCTGTAATCCCAGCACTTTGGGAGGCGAGGCGGGCGGATCACTTGAGGCCAGGAGTTCAAGACCAGCCTGGCCAACATGGTAAAACCCCCATCTCTACTAAAAAAATACAAAAAATTTAGCCGGGCATGGTGGCGTGTGCCTGTAATCCCAGCTACTTGGGAGGCTGAGGCAGGAGAAACACTTCAACCCAGGAGGCAGAGGTTGCAGTGAGCAGAGATTGCACCAAAACTGCACTCCAGCCTGGGTGACAAAGCAACACTCTGTCTCAAAAAAAAAAAAAAAGAAATAAAAGTATGAGTTTTTGAAAGATTGATCTGTCTAGTTCGAGTTGCTGTTTGAAAATAAATTAAGGCCAGGTGTGGTGGCTAAATCCTGTGATCCCAGCATTTTGGGAGGCCGAGGTGGGTGGATCACCTGAGGTCAGGAGTTCAAGACAAGCCTCACCAATACGGTGAAACCCGTCTCTACTAAAATTACAAAAATTAGCCAGGTATAGCGGTGCACACCTATAATCCCAGCTACTTGGGAGGCTGAGGCAGGAAAATCGCTTGAACCCAGGAGGCAGAAGTTGCGGGGAGCCAAGGTCACGCCACTGCACTCCAGCCTGGGCAACAGAGTAAGAATGTCTCAAATTAATTAATTAATTAAAAGAGTAATCTGCAGCCCTGGTATACGTGTTGGCAACAAGCCCCGGGGATGCTCCAGACCAGCCTGGCCTCAAATCCAGAGGATGGGACCAAGAGACTCCCTCCAGCCCTGAGACCTCGGCCCTCCTGGCCCAGCTCTCGGCAGGGGCCTGCCCACCTTCACCAGCTTGTAGAAGGTCTCATAGATGAAGATGAGTGAGATCAAGAAGGCGAAGATCTCCTGGGTGAAGCGGGAGACGAAGCGGACCAGGAAGCTCCCCTCCAGGGCCACCATGAGCAGGGCCAGGAACACCAGCCAGAAGCCGATCCACACACGGCCCACCAGGTACTCCAGGTGGTTGCTGCTACAGAACTGGAGGGAGGGGCAGTCAGGTCCTGAGCTCTGGGTGGGGATGCTGTGGGGAGGTGTCTAGGGCACGGGAGGGGCGGCTGGAGATGGGCGAGAAGAGCCCTCACCGAGAAGAAGGCCTCCTCAAAGACCAGCAGGGGCCCTGAGAAGCCGATCACCAACAGGGGCTGGGCACCCAGCAGGCAGAAGACCACGCCCTGGAGCGCTGTGGACATAATCAGCTCCGACACCCCTATCAGGTCCTGCGTCTTCTCTCCTAGGGGTGTAGGAACCAGCTCAGGAGCTGGTGGCCAGGCCCTGGGCAGTCCCCGCCGCCCCCTACCTGAAGGCTCTCCTCACCCAGCAGCCCCCCAAAGGTGATGGCAGGAGACAGGGCGGCAAAGTAGATGAAGATGACTGCGGCCAGGCACTGAGGGTCAAGTGCATCTCGGAAGTCACTCAGGTAGTGGGGATAGCGGCGCCGCACATCTCGGATCAGCCCCCCAAAGGGCCGCCCCGTCCGCCGAAGGGGATCATCTTCAGCTGCCCCTGCCGCCTCTACCATCTGCAGGAGCGCTGCAACCCAGGCCTCCGTCAGGGCGCCCCAGCCCCTCTTGCCCACCTCACCCCCTCGAGGCAGCCCTGGCCCCAGCCCGCCCTGGCCGTACCCTTATCTTGGGCAGATTTGGGCTCCAGCCCAGCCCCTGTAGGTAGCAGCCGGCCCTGCTCCTCTCGCTTCTTGAGCATCTGGCGCTGGAAGTGGGCCACAGAGCGCAGCAGCTCCTCGCCCTGCACTTCTGAAGGCGGCAGCACCACGCTGCAGTCCAGGAAGGCGTTGATGGCCGTCAGCAGGTCCTCCCGCTCGTCAGCCAGGTAGGCTGCCTCGTGGAATTGCTGCCAAAGCAGCATGGGGATGGGGGAGAGCACAAAGAAGAGGGCTGAGGGCCTGGAGCTGAGGGTGGGCAAGGCCAGTGGGTGGGAGGCAGTCATGGGGATCAAGACTGGCCTAGGATGGGCTCCAGGAAGCAGGGCCCAGAGGAGGAGGGTAGCTGACCTTGTCTGACATGAGGGTGGAGATGGAGCGGCCGATCTCGTGGTAGTCCATGTTGGCACTACTCGGGCCCAGCAGCAGGAAGAGGAAACGCACAGGCACCGGCACCTCCAACACTGCGTCCAACTCCACAGCCTCCCGGAGCCGCACAAAGGCCATGGTGGGGCGGGAGAGGAACTCCACGCAGCCTAGGGGCGTGGGACCATCGTGGGCAAGAGCAGAGCAGCAGGACCGCCTTCCAGTCCCTCGCCCAGGGTGGCACCAAGGCAGGGCCAGGGAGACTACAGGACTCTGCCTCAAGGCCTGGCCACCAAGCCCCCTACATGTGACCTGCCCCACATACCCACAAGGACCACCGTGGCCTCGGCATTCTCAGGAATCTTCTCCAGCAGTTTCAGCTCGTGCTTGGACTTGGAGCGGGTGATGCCAGCTGGTGGTGCTGGAGGCGGCAGCTCACGCTGGGGGACACAGACAGGGCTCAGCCCAGCCAGGCCCCTCCCACTCTGAGTCCACACCCAGGCTTCCTCAGCCCTGCCGCCAGCCCAGGCAGGGCTGGTTCTCCCCTCACCTCTCGCTCCACCTCCAGCCGGGTCTCAGGAACACCTCCCATGAGAGGCTCGGTGACGTGGGGGTCACTCTCAGCCCCCTGACCATGGTGATGCCCCAGCAGGGAGCCCAGGGAGCCAGCTGAGATGTTGCGGGGGAAGGAGAAGTCCTTCTCATCACTTGGGTGGCTGGTGGGGCAGAGGGCAGTGAGGCAAAGGAGGGTCAATGACAAGGGCCAGGGCAGGTGGGCTGAAGTGTCATCCCCAACTGGCCCACAGGGCCTCACCTGTGTTTCAACAGCAGAGCCCGCAGCACGTTGGCCCTGTCCTCGGCCTTGATCTGGTCAGAGATGACCATCTGCTCCACCACCTGGTGGGCCACTCCGGGCAGGGTCTGCTGGTCCAGATCCAAGAGCACAGCCCCTAGCATAAGATGGCACAGAGGGCCCCTCAGCCCCAGGTCACAAAACAGTGGCAGGAGATGGGATGGGGAGCAGGAGCTGGGGACAGGTGGGTGGGTGCCGGGGCTGGAACACCAGCCTACACATGAAGGACGCGGGCTCGAGTTCTGGCTCCCACAGGAGCCTACGTCACATCAACCCTCTGGTTCCTCCCCTCCCCCAGACCCCCAGGAACGTTATGAGGCTCCACAGAGACTACTGAACCTCAGTGACCAGAGAGGCCATCTAGGCCACGCCTGTCAGACACCCCTTCCAGGAAGCATCCGGCCTCCATGGGGACGGTCCAGGCCGCCCACTCTGGCTGAACCCTCTTGGCTGTTAGAAAACTCTCCTCTAAGTGAGCCAGGTGCTGTGTCACTCTAGGGGCCTAGTTCTACCCTGATACACAACTCAGCTGGTCTGCAGCCTCGTCCGTGTGGCCACCCTGGAGCCATCTGAAGACCCCCCTCCGCCCCAAGCTTCTTGACTTCCTTGTCGGCTTCTCAACCTCCCCTCGCCATTGCACACAGAAATAACAGTCCCTTCAAAAGTTACCAGGTCATTCATCTGGCAAGGCCAACTTTCAGGAACAAAGACTAAAGAATAAACAGAACCAAACACCCCTGAGCAGCCAGGCTGGAGACCACAACGCCCAGTGAGAAAGCCCTTCCACGGCGGCCCTTTACCCAAAGACCCTGAGCCTCACTCACGGCCTATGGACTCCTAGTTGGGAAACAATTCTAAAAGCCGGTTTCTAGGTCCTCAGCTGCTTTTTTTTTTTTTTTTTTTGGTGATAAGAGTCTCGCTCTGTCGTTCAGGCTGGAGCGCAATGGCATGATCTTGGCTCACTGCAAGCTCTACCTCCCAGGTTCACACCATTCTCCTGCCTCAGCCTCTCAAGTAGCTGGGACTACAGGCACCTGCCACCGTGCCCCGCTAATTTTTTGTATTTTTAGTAGAGATGGGATTTCACCTTGTTAGCCAGGATGGTCTCAATCTCCTGACCTCGTAATCCACCCACCTCAGCCTCCCAAGGTGCTGGGATTATAGGCATGAGCCACCGCGCCCAGCAGCTGCTTCGTTTACTTTTTTTTTTTTAATTTAATTTTAAGCCAGGCACAGTGGCTCATGCCTGTATTCCCAACATTTTGGGAGGCTGAGGCGGGTAAATCACTTGAGCCCAGGAGTTTGAGACCAGTCTGGGCAACATGGTGAAACCCCATCTCTACTAAAAATAAAACAATTAGGCAGGCATGGTAGCACGCGCCTGTAGTTCCAGCTACTTGGGAGGCTGAGGCAGGAGGATCACTTGAGCATGGGAGGTGGAGGTTGCAGTGAGCCAAGATCACACCACTGTACTCCAGCCTGGGCAACAGAGCAAGATCCTGTCTCGAAAAAAAAAATTAATTTTTTTCCTAGGCTGCCTCAAACCACAGAACCTCAGCTGCTTAGAAACAGGCCTTTTAACAACAACTGAGAGTGGTCACTCATTGGGAAGGAGCAAGCAAGCAAACACAGGGCTTGGAAGTCCTGCATCTGTGGTCGGTGGTCATTTCGTGAGGTCTACACAGCTGCAGATTAGATCACATTCCACAGAATCTCTAAGATGGTACCAAGGCATGCCAGGAATTTCAGAAAGCTTTACATCTAAATAGCTTCTCGAACATTTTCGCAACCAAAACACATCGGCTTCAGTTGTTATCTGAGAATATCAAGAAGCTGCTGGCCGAAAATGCAAATGTGAGCTGGGTGTGGACCATGCTTCCTCTGGGCTCTGGGGCTGTCACACAACGTGGGGCTCAAGACAGATTTGGGGCCATGTGGGAGAATTTCCTGGGGACTGGCCAGGCGGGAGGTGGAGGGGAGCGGGGTTACCATGGGCCAGGGTCCTGCGGAGCTCCAGGAGACTGCGGAAGGAGAGGGAGGCCACGTGGGGCTTCCCCCAGCGCTCAGTCTCCTCCTCCACGTCCTCTTCAAATTTGATCCAGCGAGCTGTCTCCCGCCACTGGGGCTCCTGGTTTTTGTCCAGGAGCAACTCATTCAGCTCCACAAACACCTTGGGGAGAGAAGAGAAGGCATTTCAGGGTACAGAGCCGGAGGCAGCCCTGGGGTGGGTGTCAGAGGTGAGTGGTGTCAGAGGGAGCCAAGTGACCCTGGAGAGCACGAGCACAGTGGGTGGTGCACAGGCGCACCAGTCCCACAGCCAGCTGGGACCCTGGACAACTGACTAACCAATGAGACGCAGTTTCCCTCATCTGTCAAATGGGAATAATACCCACCTCAAAGAACTGTCAGAAGGATGAAAAGGAAAAGCACATGGCACGCTACGTGCCTCAGAGTGAGCACTTGAGAAATGGCCACTGTATATGAAAGCAATGGCGTTTTGCAGGCCTTTTAACAGACGTGAATTATAACCACAATACTCAAATCAACGACATCCACCATGGGGAGTATAATCACAGTGCCCAAGTCAATAAGCTCTAAGATGTGTATACTGCACTCTTGTGCAGTGTACAACCTTCACAACCAAAGGTGGCATCCCTGGGCCCGGCGCGGCAGCTCATGCCTGTAATCCTAGCACTTTGGGAGGCCGAGGCGGGCGGATTCCTAGAGGCTAGGAGTTGGAGACCAGCCTGGCCAACATGGTAAAACTGCATCTCTACTAAAAATACAAAAATTAGCTGGGCGTAGCAGGTGCCTGTAATCCCAGCTACTCAGGAGGCTGAGGCAGGAGAATCGCTTAAACCCAGGAGGCAGAGGTTGCAGTGAGCTGAGATCACACCACTGCACTCCATCCTGGGCAACAGAGCGAGACTGTCTCAAACAACAACAAAACAACAGTGGCAACCCTGAGGCTTGAGATTACAGCTGGTCTGAGAGGTAGGGGCAGGGTCGTGTGGGAAGTTGATGGAAGAGCATGAAGCAGAGCATGGTACCTCATGGGGCTTGTGGGGGGCCCGGGGTCGGGCCCGAGGTGTGGGGCCAGGCTCCCGCCCTTCTCGGCCACTCTGTGTGGAACCTTTGGCATTCTTCCGCACCAAGTGCCGCCGCACCCCAGGAACGTCCTCAAACCGGTGACCTGTGGGGGCAGAGGACCAAGGTTGGGCTCCCCCTTTCTCTCACTCCTTTGCCCACCAGTGCCGGGCTTGGCCAAGGCCCAGCACTTACTCTTCATGAGGTCTAGGTCGGCCGTGGCCAGCGTCTGGGCCTCAATCTCATCCGTGGGGACCCGGGGCAGCAGTGCCTGCTCAGCCCCAGTCATGCTCCCGATGCGCCTCCTCTCCTGAAGGTTGTAGCTGCGGTGCCCAGGCTGGGCTTTGGGCAGGGGGCGCCCCGAGGCACCCCCGTCGTCACCCCCTGCAGTGCCACTGGCCACCGCCACCGCCTCCGCCTCCGCCTCCTCCACCTGGGTTCTAGGCAGACAGAATGGCCGTGAGCCCGAGAAACCTGGCCTCCTCCCCCACGCCCAGCACCCACGCAGGCGGTAGCCAGGGAGGGGACCCACATCGGACTCCAGGCCCTCCTAGCTCCCACTCCCGGGAGGTGCGGGCACGGGGAGGGGGAGGATTCTGGATGCAGACTGCCAGCATCCGAACCCCAGCTCCACCCTTTTCTGGCTGTGCAGCCCCAAACGGTCACCCCGAGGCCCCTCTGAACGGCCACTGCGAACGTCAACTGCTCCTCAGCAGCCAGGGCTGAGACCAGCCTTTGGCGGTGCCATGAGGGGTGAGATTTTGGAAAAGTCCCAGTGCAGGTCCTGGTGCAGAAAAGGAGCTCAGGACGCTGCTTCCTGACAGTCAGCATTCATCCCCCTGCCCCCTCACCCCCTGGCACATCCCTAGACATGGGACTCAGAGGTTCACAGGGGCCTATGTTTAATCAAGAGGAATAAAGTCCGTGGCACCGGGCCTTGGAGATGGCAGACAGCTTCCTGCCCTGGGAGGAGGGGTAAGCCTCAGGCTTCACAGACGCCAGCTTCTGCTCTCTCCCTTCTCTCTGCCACACTGGGTGGCCAGGGCCCTGCCACGTGGTCCTACCCCTCTCTCTCAACATCAAGAGCCCCCAGAGCTCCAAGCTCTGACTCAACATCAGAGTCCCCTCCCATGACCAGGCTCTCCTAGCCCCCACGTGCCCTGGCCCACAAACCCGACCCTTTCCTGATGCCAGGCTTTCTCGGAAGCCCCAGCCTCCTCCCTGCCATCCTGGCGCCCCTAAGGCCGCTGTAACCCGCCGCCCGCATCTGTGCCACGGTCCCAGCAGGTTATGCGCTCCCAGAGGGGACAACATGCCCTTCACTTCCCGCAGCCCTTCACGCTGCCTGGCACCCAGAAAACAACAGGTCCGTGATAGTAGTGACCTTGAGACCTAGTTCAAAGTCATTTTCTCCAGGAAGCCTTCCCCCAAATGCCAATCATCCACTGGTACTGACACTTTGCCTGAACCAGCCACTGGGTGCAGTGACAACATGCTGATGCCATCTCACATGATAACATCTGGTTTCCAACCAGCGTGTGTTGGCAGTGCCCCAAGGAGAGGGGGTCTCCTTTGCCTCTTGAACCCTGGGGCCTCCAGCAAGTGCTGGGAGGTCACCAGTCCAGTACCTGAGCCAGTGCTGGCTATTGCTCCCACTACACCACAGGCAGGGGTGGGAGACGGGCAGGGGTGGGAGGCAGCTTAGGCAGCGCGTGTTCTTTGCCAGGCTAAACCATACTTAGAACTTTAATTCACACCACCCTTAATCCCTACAGCCGCCCAGTGAGAAACGTTCTGTTATGCTTGGTTTCTGATGAGGAACCTGGGGCTTGGAGAGCTTAATTAAGTTACTTGCCCAGCCAGTGAGTGCGGGCCTGGGATTTGAACCCTGGCCTGGTGATTCCAAGGCTCATGCTTTGTTCCAGCATCACCTCACTATCCTAGCAGGGGAAGTGTCTGTTGGGGACACTGTTGATTGGGGTGTACTTACCCAGCCTGGGCCCCTTTGGAGGCCCGAGGAGTCGCCTCCTGGTGGGGCAGTGGTGCAGGGGAAGATGGACTGGTCCTCTCTGCCTTCCGGTCAGCACTGTCATCCTCTTGGAGAAAGAACTGTAACAGGGACCCACATGGGCAGGAGTGACCAGGCCAGGGCCCTGCCGACATGCCCTAGGAGCCCGCACCCAGCGCACCTGCACCGAGGAGGGTGTGGAGACAGGGGACGGCTGAGTGAGAGCCCGGGCCCCCTCAGCCTCGCTGGCCTCATCCTCATCTTCCTCCCCCTCCTCAATGGTCGGGGTTTCTCCAGTCGGGGAGGCTCCCGGGCGCCTTCGAGGCTTCCGTCCTGGGCCCTGGGGTGTCTTGCGGCGGCGTGCATCCGGAGGCAGGTGGGTGGACAGTGGGTGATGGATGTGGTGGGAGGACTGGCGGTGGTCTGCAGGGAGGAGGGGGACTTGGCTGTGGCAGGCACAGTGTCCCTCCCCTGCCATCCTGCCCCCTAGCCCCACTCCTCCCACTAGGACCCCAGTCCCTTCTTTGCTGGACAGTCAAACCTGATCCCCCCACCTCCCCCTCCCCTGCCTGCCCCCTCACACTCAAAGTCTTCCTCCCCATAGCTGCGGCCTGGCTCCTCCCCTCCACGAGACCCGGCCTCCTGTAGGATCTCCTCAAACCGCTCCACGCCCAGGGTGCGGTGAAGTTCGTCTTCCTCCTGCTCGGGGAACCCAGGCGTCCCAGGGCCCAAGCTCTCTGGCTCTGGCTGTGAGGAAGAAGGCAGAGAGAAAACACACAGGGCTCACTGGGAATTGTACCCCGAAACCTCACCCTTCCCAGTGCCAGAGACCCAGGAACCCTCCCCCGCCAGCAGCTATCTCCTCTAATGCTGGTGGCTCTATATGCCCCCAGCAGCTGTCCCTTAAATATAGGGACCCAGGCCAGGCACAGTGGCTCACACCTGTAATCCCAGCACTTTGGGAGGCTGAGGTGGGTGGATTGCTGGAGGTCAGGAGTTCAAGACCAGCCTGACCAACATGGTGAAACCCCATCTCTACTAAAAACACAAAAATTAGCCAGGCGTGGTGGCGGACACCAGTAATCCCAGCTACTCAGGAGGCTGAGGCAGGAGAATTACTTGAACCTGGGAGGCGGAGGTTGCAGTGAGCCAAGATCGTGCCACTGCACTCCAGCCTGGGTGACAGAGTGAGACTCCGTCTCAAAACAAAAACAAAAAAAAAGGAAACAAATATAGGGACCCAGTCCTCCCAAGCAGTCTGCCCCCTCAAATGCAGGAAGCCAGTCACCCTACCAGTAGACATCCCTTCAAACACAGTGACCCAGTGTCCCCCCAGCAGTCTGCCCCCTCAGATGCAGAGACCCAGTCCCCCCAGCAGCTGTCCCCTGGGTTCTGAGCTACCCTCATCCCAGCCCAGCCCCCTTGGCTGTGTAGTCAGTTCAGGGCAGGTGGAAGAAATCCCGTGTGTCCAGCCCATCTGCAGCCTGGAGGGAGGGCGTGTGAACCGGGAAGTTCACATGACAGATAGTGAAGAAACTCCAGTTGGCCTGAGGACAACTGCTGAGCCCAAAAAGTAACTTCTGGCGGCGCCCAAGCTAACCGACCCAGAGCCTGTCCGAGTCAAACAAACCCAGCCCCGCAGGGACCGGAATGGATGCCCTTCAGCCCCCAGGAGAGCTCCCCCAGCCCCCAGGCCCCCGGCCCGAGCCCTGGGCCAGGTCCCTAGCCCCACCCCTCACCCCACCCCCACAGCCCCCACCTGAGTCATCCTGCGGGCGCGGAGCAGCGGCCGGCCGGCACAGCCGGCAGGGAATGCGGCGCTTGTAAGAGCTCAGCCCAGCTAAGCGGCAGCCGCCTGGCCAGGCAGCCTTGGTCCAGCCCCCCACCCACCCACGGTCTCAGCTCCAGGCGCCGCCAAATATTTGCTCAAGAGCTTCTGGACCTGAAGGGCATCGGGATCTCCAAGGGCGGGGGTATGCAGCCCCCTCCATAGCGGTGCCAGCAGCCAGAACAAGGAAGAGCGCGGGGAGGGCTGGGGTGAAGGGCGGGTCTTAGGGGCGAGGTGGGGACTGGAGCAGCTGGGACTGGCAGAACACCGGATAAGAGAAGGTGAGCGGGCCAGGGGGCTGGCTTCTCCCCTCTGTGAGGAAGGCTCCTGTCCATCTCCTGGCTCCCCTAAGCGCCCAGCCCCACTCCCACCAGAAGCAGCCCCGTGGGACGAGGGGACGGGGAGAGGCGCAGGGAGCTTGCCGCCATGGGGAGAGAGGGTCGCAGACCCCTCGCACCTGAGGCCGCAGGAGGAAGTCCATGGCCGGCAGGGGTGAACCTGAGAAGGAGGGGGAGGGGACCAGCCTGTGCCCCTTCCCAGTCACGTGCCCCTCTGGGCCAGTGTGACCAATAGCGGAGCTGATTGTGGCACGGGGTTAATCATTAAGACTCCTTAGGAAAATCCAAAGGGGGCCATGTGGAGCGGTGGCCACGTGGGGGCAGGGAGGGGCGGGCCTGGGTGGCACGTGGGCAGGGGGCGTGGCCAGTCGTGGCAGGCGAGCTCCGCCCAGAACCCTGGCCCGCGTGCAGACTTGACCTGCGCCTCTAAGGCCAGCCGGGTCTGAGACGGGTTGCTGGGTGAGAGACCCAGGGTTCTCAAAGTTCCTCAACCGCTGAGGCTAAGCTACCTAGGTCTTCAGGTAACAGCCTCAACTCCCTCCCCAGGACTGGAAGACGTCTGATACCCCCACTACCCATCCCCCCCTACGACCATCATGCAAAGTCAGGGTAGGGATGGCAGCATCCTCCCAGTCTCCACACTCACACACGCTCACACCCCTGGTTGGCGAGGACCCTTGGCCGGAGCACCCAAGGCTGCCCAGGGAGGGAAGGTTGGGCTGGCGACCTGGGGGCCACACTCACCGTACAGAAAGAATCTGCGCCCTTGGCGGGGCGCCGAGGGGCGCTGCTCATGGCCGAATCTTAGCCCTTTTCGCTGTCGCTGCGGCTTTCAGGGCAACGAGGCGGAGGCATAACCTGGATGGGGGAGAGGCCTGATCACCATCGAGAGCCCTGGGAGGGCAGGAGCCACCACGCGCAGGCTGCGCTGCTGGGGATCCTCCTGGAGTATGAAGGGCCTCAGAGTGGCCCTTAGCGGCAGCCACAGCACAGAGGAGAGTTATTTATAGGAAGAAAAGAGAAGAACAAGGAGACAGGAGAGGACTGAGGCGAGGGGGGCCGAAAAGGGCCGAGAGGCTGAGTAGAGGGAGGAGGAGAGAGGAGGTGGGAAAGGCCGCAAGAAAAATGAGGGAGAAAGGAGTCAAGGCCCAGGCCCGGAGAGAAAGCAACAAAGATGAGGGAGGGAGTGATAATGAGCTGGGGAAAGAGGGGAGTGAAGGCCCAGGCAGACAACGGAGCCTCGCAGGGTCAGGGCACCCACCAGAGGTGGGCCTGAGACCAGAGAGGGTGTGGTGGGGAGGGTGAGACACCCCGTGGAGCCGGGGCCGGGCTGCCGAGACAGGAAGCAGACGAATGGAAGAACTCTGGAGAGAGCCCAAGATGCCCCTGCAGGGAGGGGGTGCCCCCTCCCCAGTACAGGCCGGCAGGAGGCTTCCCTCCCCCAGGTCCTTGGGGACCGGCAGGAGGGAAGCAGGCTGGCTGGGTGGAGGGCAGGAGCTCAACTCCACTCACTCACTGAGAGAGAGGAAGGCACAGAAGGTGGGCATGGGCTGGGCAGAGCTTTATAATGGGGGAGGGGCATGTGATGGGCTGGGAGGGGGTGGGCACCGCAACCTTGAGGTTCTGCCTCTGAGGGGCAGTCTGGATCCCGCCCCTCTAGAGCCTGGAGCCAGGAAAATCTGAGTGGCAGTGCTGCCACCCTCCTGACTGTGACTGTAGGGAGTCTGGGGAGGACACTGTGTGGTGGGGGCAGAGAAGGAGCTGCAGGAGGGAGCCCAATCCCTGCAAATAGGGGGCGCATTCCTAGCGGGTCAGCACAGGGGGCACCCAAGACTGGCAAAAAGTGACGGTACCCAACAACCCATGCTCCCAGTGTGTTGCTGGGGACTGGGGGTGCCTGACTTAGGAGTAAGACAAGTCAGTGTAGCGTCAAACAATATAGGTCTGGGGGGGTCACCCAGGATGGGGAGCCTGGCAACACATTCTTGGCAAGCACTCCAACTTGGCTAACCACGCTCTTCCCCTCCCCCTCAGCAGGCCTTCAGCCAGGGCGGGTGGTGTGGGTGAGCGTGAGTGCACCCAGTCTGGGAAGGGTGTGGGGAGAGTCCGCCCAGAGCACCTGCAGGCGCCCACTCCCACCTCAGGCTGTGCCCTCGTCGCGCTCCTCCACACTCCTCTGCACCCCCTCCCCTGCTGTCCCAGAACACAAAGCAGCTTCTGTCCAGAGCATCGGTGCCGATAATCCGGGTAGGGGCACATTCCCGGGACCAGCCCCGACCGGCCCAGAGGATTAGTATCTCTCCCCTTGACCAAGGGATTAGCACCTCGGACCCCCACTTGGGCATTAACCACCCCCCAAGTGAACTCGTAAATTCCGCAGCTCTTCCATGTGGGGCTGGCGGGGGAAACGAAGGGGGATAAAGTAGACCCTGGGTTTCAGGCAGTGCCGCCTCTCACACCCAGCACAGAACTTCCCGCCTGGACAAACCGACCCCGGGAGTCAGGTCCAACTCTCCGGGCTCATCTTTCCCATTCCCACCCAGCTGCTCCCTCTTCTGTCTGACCCCTTGTCCGACCTTACCCGCCACCCGCCTTTCCTGGCTTCGCCTCTCAACCCGGAGATTGGGGATGGGGGCCCCGGGCAACCCCCAGTCTGGGCGCCCCGGACGGGACTGAAGGACTATGCGGGGGGGCCGGAGGGGAGGGGTGGTCTGGAGCCAGCCGGGGAGTGGGAGGGCCGGCGGCGCCTCGGGGAGACTACCCCCTCCTGGTGGCAGGGGGCGCGGCACCCTGGCTTTAGGGAACTCTGAGAAGGGGACCCCGGAATGCCCGCTTCCGACCAGCACTCCATCCGCCTCCCCATCCTTCTCCCCAAGACCGCGGTTCCCCGCGCCCCAGTCTCCGCCCTTTCCTCCACTTCCACTCCCTCCCCGCTCGAGTCCCGAGTTCCCCCCTCTCCTTCCCCCTCCCTTCCTCCCTCTGCGGCCCTGGCCGTCCCCCGCCACCACCTCTCCGCCTACCCGCTCGCTCTGGACTTCGTGCCCCGGGGGTCTCGGGGTCTCTCCCCGTCCTCCGGCGCACTCGCGCGCTCCCGACGACTGCCCCGTGCCCACCCCGGGGCGCGCCCCCGCCGCTCCCAACTTCTCCCAACTCAACTTTCCCCCGCGCCGCGGGCAGGCCAGCCCCCTGCGTGCGCGCCCCCCGGCGCACCGTGCGCGGTCCCGCCTTCGCGGGTGGGGAGGCGGGAGCGGGGGCCGGGGCGGGGGCGCGCTTCCAGGCACAGCCCGGCACCAGGGGCCGCCCCCGCCGTCCCTCTGCCCCAAGCTTCTCCACTCGGGGCTCGGGAGCCCCGAGGATGCCGTCCCTTGGCTCCATTACGGCACCTCTGAGTGTAAAGGAGCCCTTCTCACGCTAGGGATCCCAGGCAGCAAAACGCAGGCACAAGGAAATTCGGGGAAGTCGAAACATAAACGTATCGGGGTTGAGATTCTCTTGCCCCCCTCAATAACCCCCGTGCCTCCAAGAAAGCCCCTGAGGGACGGGTGGCGAGTGGGTGAGAAGGGTGACAGGGGCTGGAGGCTGGCCGCCCGGTACCCTGAGCTGATCTGGGAGAGGGTAACTTGTTAGAGGCTCTCCACTTCCAGAGAGGGACAGAGATTCGCTGTGCTGGCCTCCTTCCTCTTGAATGGAACCTCCACACTGAACCGAACCCTAGGCAGAGCCATCACTTATCATTCAAGACCTTTGTGTGTAGTTCTTTTTTGCCCAACGAAATCACAAAGTCTTCCAGATAAGGAATACACTTTTTGCTTCTTTTCCCTTGTGTATGCAAAAGCATTCAGATAGAAACGAGTTAATTAACACGTGTTTAGCAGCAACTCTGGTTCCGGTGCTGAGGAGTGCTGTTTGGGATCCTTTTCCCTCGGTCCATAGCCCTCAAGAATGCAATCATGAGACAATTAGAGAGGCAGCGTAAGGGAATCTATAATCAGCTCCTTTAAGGGGTGAGGCAGAGGCTGCTGCAAGTTGAGCATCGGTCTGTGGTCTTGTCTGTGGAGGGGGTTAACCAACCTGCCTGCCACACCCTGGCTGACTCCAGTGGGCCCTGTTCCGGAGACTGGGGTCTGAGGGGGACCCCCAGGGCTCCACCCAGTTTTCCTCAGCATGTCAGAGTTCAGCGGCTAGAGTCGGGTGGGCTCCGAGACAACAAACGGGGCTCAGCAGAGAGGGGGTCTTTGGCGTGTGTCCCTCCACTAAAATCCAGCCTCGAAGGGGCACAGCTGTTCTCCCAGCCCTGCGGTCAGCTGTTCCCTGTGAGGTCATCATCGCTCACAGGCATTCCCCAGTCAATTCTGGGGTCACTAGGTGGCTTGGGGAGAGGTGGAAACCCGTGCTGAGGTCGTCAAGAGGCCGTTGGGAACACAATGCCACCAACCAGGTCAGCGCTGGGCCGCCAGTGCCCGGGATCTAGGCCGCCAAACCCCAAACCCCTAACCGAGAGCGCTCCGCCCCCATTTCCGCTGCATTCTGGAACGCGTAGTCCCGGAGCGGCCCTTTTCAAGAGGGCTGGGAGCACATAAAAGGAATAACAACAGCGGGGCACACTGGGAACCACGGCGCCGCGGCGGGGCGCCCGGAAAACGGACACGCGTTGCTTCCTGGGACTTGAAGTCCAAGGTTTGCCTCCGCGGTAGAAACGGAGCCCTGGAGTCGAGTGCTGCAGAGAGCGTGAGCGCAGACGGCTGGGGGTTGTAGTCTTCTTGTCCTCGGTCTCGGGCATTGCGGGGAGACCTAGTCGTTTTAGGACTACAAGCCCCAGAAGGCCCTGCGCGGGCAGACGGGGCGGGGCTGGAGGCTCAGGTGCCGCCTCCTCTGCAACGCCGGGGCCAGAGTCTTAAAACCGAGGGCCCGCAGGGGTCCCCGCGGCCGCCGCGATGCAGAAATACGAGAAACTGGAAAAGATTGGGGAAGGTAATGGAATCTCGAGATGTTCCTGCAAGAGCTCCTCTGCAGATCCTTCGGCATTCCTTGAAGCCCTGGCTCCCTTACCGTCAGCAATGCCTACAGGCTCCGATCTCAGCAGCGGCTGCAGCCCTGGCCCCCTAGCTCAGCACTCCGTGCAGACACCAGTCTTCCCCGTGTTAGCATTTCCCGCAGGGCTCTCACTCCAACCTTAGCGTTCCCAGTAGACCCGACCTCCCAACCGCGACACTTCCTGAAATTTCTCACCCCAGCCTCAGCAGCACTTGGACAACCTCACCCCGACCCCCAGCCTCGTTTCTTGCTGCAGACCTCCAACCTCAATATTTCTGCAGCCCCTCAGTCCTCTCCCAGACCCCTCCTCACTATTTCCAGACCCTTCCGGAGCACCGCCTTCATTTTAGACATCCTTGCCCTGGCAACCGCACTCGCCCCTCCTGCCGAGCCCCTGGAGCCTCGGTGGGCACCTTCTCCTCCCTCCCCACCTGCCACATCCTCACTCACAAAGCTCACCAACCTACCTTCACCCTGAATCCCTTCCCTTGCATACTGAGACGCTGCCTTCACCTCTCTCAGGAGGCATTTCCTGGCTTAGGGAAGAGTGCCGCATCCTCACCCTGACCCCTGACCTCCTTCCCCTAGGCACCTACGGAACTGTGTTCAAGGCCAAAAACCGGGAGACTCATGAGATCGTGGCTCTGAAACGGGTGAGGCTGGATGACGATGATGAGGTAGGACTGGGGAGTGGGATACGGCCTGGGGAGGGGTTTGAGGGCCTGGGCTGGGTGGGATCTGACTGCTGCCCACCGGCCCCCTCACATATGCAGGGTGTGCCGAGTTCCGCCCTCCGGGAGATCTGCCTACTCAAGGAGCTGAAGCACAAGAACATCGTCAGGTGTGCGGGAGGCGGGTGCTCCTTGCCGGTGTGGCCGCTTGGGGGAGGCGGGGGCTGACACTGGACGTCTGTCAGGCGGACCTGCCTGGCTGAGCCCTTCTTTTGCCCTAGGCTTCATGACGTCCTGCACAGCGACAAGAAGCTGACTTTGGTTTTTGAATTCTGTGACCAGGTGAAAGGCGGGGTTTGGAGGACAGTAGCCTTGGGAAGGTATAGGGGCCCAGATTGAGGTTAAACTCTGTCCCATTCCCCCACTCATATCCCTTTTCAGGACCTGAAGAAGTATTTTGACAGTTGCAATGGTGACCTCGATCCTGAGATTGTAAAGGTGAGGAGAGTGGTGTTGGGGGACCCCTCAGGCTGGGGTCGGAGTCTGCATTCGGTGTAAGCACCCCTTGGGCTCTAAGTTTGGGCCCTGAACAGGGACACTCTAGGGTGTTAGAGAATGAGAAAACCCTGTTTCTGTCCTCCAGGGGTCTCCAGTCTTAGTGAGCATTTTCACGTGGTCATCTTTGACCCGCACAGTGTCATTCTGATGTCAGTGATATTATTTACACTCGAGAGATGAGAAAATGAGGTTCAAGGAGATACACTCATTCATTCAACACATACTTACTGAATGCTTCACTGTGTGCCAGGTGCTTTTCTAGGCCCAAGACCAAATGCCTTGGTCCAGGTTCCAGGGGAGCCAGTCCTGAATGATACTACAGCACGATATTTATGTTGATGTTCACGGCGTGCATACTCAGATGCGGCCAGGAAGGGAAGATCAGCATGGGCTGGGATCTAGGCCGGATCTAGGATCCACCTGCCAAGGCCCATTAGGCTGTATGGTCCAGGAAGGTGGGGACCAGAGCCAGCTTCTTTACTTTGGTCCCTCTAATGCCTAGCACAGTATAAAGCAGGTCCTGGATGGCGAATGAATGGTGTCACTCTGAACCAGGTGCTGAAAGGTGGGTGGGGTGGAGCGAAGCACAGGGTGAGGAGAGGAGCCGACCCGTTGCTGGGCACAGTTGCATGTTCAGGGCGTCTGACTCCCTTCTCCCTCTCTCCTCCCAGTCATTCCTCTTCCAGCTACTAAAAGGGCTGGGATTCTGTCATAGCCGCAATGTGCTACACAGGGACCTGAAGCCCCAGAACCTGCTAATAAACAGGGTACTTCTTGGGAAGAAGGTGGGGAATGGAGAGGCTGGGGCCAGGGCACGGGGAGCACAGAGGGAAGAGGACTGGGAGGATGGAGTTGGTGCTGTCCCAAGGCTTTTTAAAGGCCCTTCTCCATGTCCCCTTCCCATTCCCTTCAGAATGGGGAGCTGAAATTGGCTGATTTTGGCCTGGCTCGAGCCTTTGGGATTCCCGTCCGCTGTTACTCAGCTGAGGTGAGCTAGAAGATGGGATATGGGATTGGGGGAGGGAGTCCCTCAGCTCCAACCCCAGGACCCAAAACATTATTTTCCTCTCCTCTCTGAGCCTCCTCCTCAAACCTCCTCCCCAGTCCTCTAAGTGGGAGGTCCCTTTCGGGGGGGGTCTCCTCCAGGTGGTCACACTGTGGTACCGCCCACCGGATGTCCTCTTTGGGGCCAAGCTGTACTCCACGTCCATCGACATGTGGTCAGCCGGCTGCATCTTTGCAGGTGATGTGCTGGGGTGTTGCAGAGGCACCTTCTTTCCCATTTGAGTTGACAAATAGGGTCTGGAGGGTCCCCTCTGGGGGAAGGGAGGGAGGCCCTGGGACTGGAGCTGGAAGGTCAGGGGGTACCTCAGAGTGAGGGGTCCTTCACATGTCACATCTTAGCCCCCTGTCTATCCCCCAGAGCTGGCCAATGCTGGGCGGCCTCTTTTTCCCGGCAATGATGTCGATGACCAGTTGAAGAGGATCTTCCGATATCCTTGCTTTCCTCTGCCTTGAGCCCTCTGGGAGGGGAGAGTCCATGGAGTTTTGAGCACAATGGGTGAGGGCAGTGATGGTGTGGGGTAGGGTGATGGGGTCTGTAGGGCTTCTCCTGAGGGCAAGGGGAGAGAGCAGGGGTGCTGGACACCCTGATTGTCACAGTGCAAATGCACACTGGAGAAGGTGTGGCTTGGAGACAGGCAGCGTGCCCTGAGGGGTGAAGCCGAGAGGGTGTCCCTCCAGGTGAGAGATGGATGCCAGGATGAAGGAGCCAAAGAGAACAGGACACATTTTGTGGGAGCAGGGCAAGGACTGTTTCATTAGGACTAGGACAGCAGCATGTGGGTTAGGTGATTGTCATGGGAAACGTGGCTGGATATGCGAGTGACCTGCCTGGGGCTGCTTCTGTCAAGCTCAAGCCGGAGGGTAAAGGGAGGGTGAGAAGTGGGCGGTGGGTATGAGGAATCCCTCCCCAGGAGGGGAAGAGGCCCTCACCCTGCCCCTGAAGATGCAGCTGTGGCCCTTTCCCAAGTGATCCTTGACTCCGTGGACACACTGCTGGGGACGCCCACCGAGGAGCAGTGGCCCTCTATGACCAAGCTGCCAGACTATAAGGTGTGATGGGGAATGTGGGGGTCATGGTTCATCAGGGTCACTCGTTTCACATTCCTAGCGCCTCCATCCCCCTCCCCCTACCTCTAGTCTGACCCTCCCTGCCTCTCCACAGCCCTATCCGATGTACCCGGCCACAACATCCCTGGTGAACGTCGTGCCCAAACTCAATGCCACAGGGAGGGATCTGCTGCAGGTAGGTGACCAGGGGTAGAGGGTGGGTCAGGACACTTGCCCAGTGGGACTACAGGAAGGCAGGGCTCTGGGCAGTGACCTGTCCTGAACCTGCCACCTCCTTTCCCCCATCTCCAGAACCTTCTGAAGTGTAACCCTGTCCAGCGTATCTCAGCAGAAGAGGCCCTGCAGCACCCCTACTTCTCCGACTTCTGTCCGCCCTAGGCCCCGGGACCCCCGGCCTCCAGGCTGGGGCCTGGCCTATTTAAGCCCCCTCTTGAGAGGGGTGAGACAGTGGGGGTGCCTGGTGCGCTGTGCTCCAGCAGTGCTGGGCCCAGCCGGGGTGGGGTGCCTGAGCCCGAATTTCTCACTCCCTTTGTGGACTTTATTTAATTTCATAAATTGGCTCCTTTCCCACAGTCTGGTTGATGTGGTGGTCAAGTGGCTCTACAGGGCCCATGGGCTGGAGGTGTCTCTGGTCTGTTACTGCCGGCCGCAATCCTGCTTCTGGCTCAAAGACAGCACCTTGCTCTTCTACTTTAAGAGGCCATGACCCTCACCCCTCACCCCTGGGGCAGGGCAGCACTGTCGCTGCACACCCCTTCCTCCCACCCTCCCTTCCTCTGCCCAGGAGGGCCTGATGTGGTCCCTCAGAGTGAGGGGAGCAAGGATGGGCTCCCCACCAGGGTGGAGAGGAAAGGGCTGGGCCTCTCCTTGTGGTTCTCCATATCTCAGGTGGATCCTCTTGTCCTTTCCCTCATCATCCCCCCCATACCAAGGCCTGCAGGCTGGCACAGGAGAGCCCCAAAGATATGGTTCCATCAGGAACACCCCCTCCCACTCCCTATTTGTCAGTTTCCCAATGTTTGGGGTCCAGTGAAAGAGAGGGAAGTTGGGCCTGTGGCTGGGGCCTGGTGTGTCCTTACTGGCAGGAAGAGGAAGGGAGGGCTCCGCCTACCCCCACCCCCACCCCCACCGTCTCAAGCCTGGGGCCTTTAGCTCTTGTGGGGAGGCTGAGGAGGCAGAACTTGTTTGTATGGAGACAGGCTGTGTGCCGCACTTGGTCCCAAATGTGGGAAAGGAGTCAGGATGTAAGGCAGGACACAGGTGTTCTTGAAAGTGGAGTCACCCCGTCTTCTCCCTGCCTCTTCTTGCTGAGCTCTGGGCAGAGTTTTCTTCCAGTTATACCTTTATTGCTGACTGTGATTCTGCACCTCACACCTAACCCGGGCTTGGAGGATACCTGTCCTCCCTTCTCTCTAAGATGTCAGTCGGCTAAACTCACTCACACTGAGGTGCAAATGACTGATAACCTCTTGCTACCATTCTCCCCTAGAGATTCATGGGGGTTCAAGGGCCCAGCTCCACATTTCAGAAGCCACGTCCAGCTGGATGATGGCTGGCAGAAGACTTCCAATGCCTAAGTTGGGCTGACCTTGGCTTGGCTAGTCTCTGCCCTGTAAGAGAAACAGCTGAGGCTGATGCATTAGGACTTTATTTGGGGTGAAGACGGAAAAGCTACGTGCAGGCTAGGCATGTCCAGGATGTCAGGGCGGGGCTCCGAGGACACAGACAGCAGGTCTAGAGCTGTGTGACAAGGTAGCAGGTGCGGTGGGAGGCGGAGAGAGTCTTGGTGACGGCACAGGGAGGGGTGGGAGGTCTTCGGAACAGAGCAGAGTGCTGGGGTGGGAACGGGCACACCCACTGTCCTGAGCCTGCCCCTGCCCTCCCTTGATTTTAGGGGGCCATTATGTGTTACCTGGGGCCCAGGCTGAGGTGGGGAACTTGGGTTCGATGGCTGCCCAGCCCTTCCTGAAGCTGTGTGAGGACGAGAGGGTCAGAGGTGGGGAGTGGTCCTCCTCCCAGGGACCAGTCGAGGTCACTGCACACCCTCCTGCCTGTTTCTCCTCAGCTGGGGCGGGATGGTGGTCTAGGCTTCAGGGGTGGGCCCTAGCACCCTTGGAGCAGGCAAGGGCTCCAGAAGAGGGGCTGTTACCAGATTGGTGCTGGAGTGCCTTTGGGAGTGCTGTCGGTTCCAGAAATATCCCAGGACCTTGTCTCGGAACACCTGGAGGCAAGCAGGATGGGAGGTGGCCAGTGCACACCTTCCCCCTCATCCTAGGGGCCCTGATTCCCACCTCCCACCCCCTGCAGTGGGGGCCCTGGCCCACCTCACAGAGGTAGTCTAGGATCTCGAGGATGGTGAGCAGGCTGGCCCCGATGAACAGCCCCATCTGGCCCCCAATGTCACCTGTGGAGACAGGGTCACCCTTCAACTTACAGCCACCTGCCTGCCCACACCCCCCCAGCCCTGGGGGCCCTGCACACACACCAAGCAGCTCTGACATCTCATAGGCCTTCTTCTGCTCCACGGTCTCATAGTTGAGGGCCTCAAAGAAGATGTCCAGGGCCAGCACGTTCTCCCTGAGGACAAGAATGGCCTCAAATGTGGGCTGGCCACCGCCTGGTGCCCACTGCTGGCAAGAAGCAGCTGTGGGTTCTCCCACTCCTTTCAAGAACCCTGGGAGAGGCCGGGCACGGTGGCTCACACCTGTACTCCCTGCACTTTGGGAGGATGAGGAGGGAGGATCTTGAGGCCAGGAGTTTGAGACCAGCCTGGGCAATACAGCGAGTCCCCTCCCCTCCCCTCCCCCGCCCCCCGCCGTCTCTGTTTTTTAAAAGTAAAGATTAAAAAATAAAAGGAAAGGAAAAAAAAACAGACCCCTGGGAGGAGGCGTCAGCATCCCCCGGGGCCAGAAAGATTAAGCAACCAGCACGGAGCCCCAGAGCCAGTGAGGCTGCGGAGGCTGCCTCCGCCCGGGCTGTGCGCACTAGGGCTACGGCCTGGCCTGCCCCGTTCCGCCCCGTCGGGAGCCCCCGGCTCGGAGGAGCCCGCCCGCCCCGCGCAGCTCACGCGATGTAGGCCTCGCTGCGGTTGAGCTTCCGGGCCAGGAAGCGCGCGGCGGCGCGGCTCGGGATCCGCACCATGGAGAGCTCCTTGGCGTAGCGCGTGCTGGCGCACGGGTTGGGGCAGGCGCACGAGTCCTTGCGAAGCATGGCATCTGCGGGCCACCGGGCCGCGTCAGACGCCCGCGGGCGGAGCGGGGCGGACGGGAGGTGGGGGAGGCTCGCCCTTACCTATGGCCGGGTGGGCACAGTTCTTGTACTGCTGGGGGCTGCACACTGGCACGTCGCCTGCGGGTACCGGGGAGATGGCTTTAGAAGCAGCCTCAGCTCCCTGGGCCCTGCCCGCCATGGGACGAAAACCCCAGCCCCTCACCTGGCATGTACACCATTCGGCAGCCGCACTTCCGAGCCACGTAGCGGGTTTCGCAGGCCAGGCGACACCCCATAAGGGTATAGGGAGGGCTGGGGCTGGGGCTGGGGGAGCCTAGGGGATCAGAGGGCTCTGGCTCATAGTTGGGGTTCAGAGATGCTGAACTGCAATCGCCCCAGGGCGGTGGCAGGAAGCTCAGCTGTGGGGGGACAGGGTTAAGGAGGCTTCCCGGAGAGCGTGAGAGGCCAGCTGGGGAGAGGCCCCTAGACAGGTCTGAGGAGCTGAGGGTTTAGGGTCTGAGGTGGTGTGGGCTTGAAGTAGTAGGTGTGGAGGCACACGGAAGGGTACCTGCTGCTGCTGGCAAGAAACAAAGGTCTGGTAGCCCGGGGACACCCCCAAGCCCAGCTGATCGATGATGGGCGGCTCCTCCTGGCTGTGGATCTGCACTCGGATCCCCACCTCAAACGGGGTCTCCTCTGTCGGGGAGGGACCTGTGAGGCCTGACCTGTGTGGTCAGGTCTCCTGCCCAACCAGACAAGACCTCTCACTGCAGCCCCTCTCCCCAGGACTGGGATGAGCCAGCCCAGCCCCTTTCACAGGTTCTGGGGGAACACCCTGACACCTCCTCTCCTCCTCTCCTTCCCCTAGCCTTTTGCACTCCATCCGTGCCCTCCCCCAGCCTCATTTGTGTGCTCCCTACCATTGTCCCTCCACACAGGTAGATATTCCTCCTGCTGCACGTCCAGCATGATGTCCAGCCCATTGCCCATGCCACCCCTAGTAGTGGTGAGCAGCTCTGCCCCATCAGCGCCAGAGTTAAATGTGTAGCACTTTCCCATCCGGGTGAAGATCTGGGGCGGGCAGACAGGGTGATGGCCATCTCCCCCAGGCAGGCACATGGTCATGGGACCTCTCCCCACCTCATGGTATGTTTGCGTCTCTTCTTTGAATACTGAAGCCCGCATCTCAATGCCCCCAGCCCCACGCTCCAGTGGGCACATGTTGCAGGACGCTCTTGGGAGCCCATCAACTCAGCTCCTCCACCCCGCCAATCCCCACCAAAGCCCAGGGCACAGCCTACAGGTTTTTCTGTGTTTCTCTGGGAACTGCAGGAAAAGGAAATGGGCCCCTGTGGCTGTCCTCCGGGGCTGGCAGTATGTTGAAAAGGCAGAGGGAAAGCAAGCCCCCCCCACCTCCTGGCAGAGATAGGGGTCTTCTGCCCCAGAATGGTCCCACCATGGAGGACCCCCAGCCCCAGGAGCAGGGCCTCCCTGGGCCAGACCTCAGGCCTAGGGCCAGCCGGGGTCAGTGTGGCCTCACATGCTCCCCTCGGGCTGGGAGACAGAGAAAGCCCCAAGGAGGACAGCTTCCTGGGCTGCACGGAGTGGCACTGGGGGGTGGGGAGTCCATGGCTGGTAGGAAGGAAGAGGTCCCCTGGCTTTGGGGGAGCCTGTGCTGGCTAGGGAATTGTGGGTGCTGGGCAGGGACTGGTCGGCTCTCTGGGTCCCTGGCAGGATAGGTAGGGAGGTCAGCTCACCGTGGTGAAGTTCTCAGGCCCACAAGGTTGGCCACGGAAGCGACAGTCCAGCAGCATGTCATCCAGGGAGTGCCCAGCACGGGCATAGAGTTGCGCCATGTCAAAGGTGGGACTGGGCATGAAGCCGGGCGGTGCAGGGGGCCGGCCCAGGGCGCGCAGGAAGGCGGCGTGCTCTGCGGGATCCAGGCCCAGCAGCGCAGACCCAGCCCAGTGCAGGTCGTTGGGCGTTAGGCGCGAGCGGCGCAGTGGGTTGATGTTGCACAGGGTGACAGCCGGGAAGATGAGCCGGTGGCTTTCTCGCTCATCCAGGGCAGTCTGGTGGTGGAACTCCCTGTAGTAGCGCACCCTCTCAGCCACCTGGTAGAGGAAGGTGGCCACTGACAGGACCACGGCCGCTGCCCACATCCCCCGGCGCAGGCTCAGGCTGCCTGGCCCGAAGACGTGGCCCAGCCCGTGCATCGAGCAGTTGCTGGCGAACACGCGGATGTCCGAGGCTGGCCGCCGGGCCTCCTCTGGGCCTGAGGTGGGCTTCATGGCCAGAACCCAGGAGCGGAACCAGCTACAGAGGCTTGGAAGAAGCGAGAGAGAGTCAGTCAGGGGGCTAAGGAGGCTAAGATAGGATTCAGGAGGCCAGGCAAGGAGAGGAGAAGAGAGGGTGGGAGACAGCCAAGGTTGGAAGGCAGGGAGGCACTAGCCTGGCAGGATTGGAGGAGGTGATCTGGCCGGTCAGGTCCCACTGTTCCTTCCCGAGGAACAGGCGGTGGCTCCACTGGGCTAGGCACTGGGCTGGGGACTCCGCAGCAGACCAGGTGGGACGTAGCTGACCGTGGCAGGCAGGGGCTGCGGAGCGGTGCTGAGCCGGCGGTGCTGAGCCGGCGCTGCTGCAGAGGATTGGGTTTCAGCAGTAGGGGGGAAAGGGGGCCGACAGAGCAGTCTGGGGGGTAGGAGAGGTCCCTAGGGCCCCAGGCTGAGCCATTAGTGCAGCATGGAGGGGGGCATGGCTGTCCAAGACGAGAGGCGCCAGGAGGAAACCGCAGTAATCCTAGGGAGAGCTTGAGAAAAGCCCAGAGGTAGATTGGGCCTGGAGATGCCTTGGGGCCCCCTAGGCTCCCAGTTGCAACCCCTGTACACTGGCCGCGAGGGTCAGTCGCTGACCCCTGGCCTAGCTCCTCTCTCCTTTTGCCTCTGCGGCCTTCCCTCTAGCTTCACCCAGGATCTGTTCCTTCACGAATACCAGAGCTGGCTCTTGGCCAAGCTGGGAAATGGTTGGAAGGCTGGCATCAGCAGATCTCTTCTTTCTGTGCCCCTAGCATCTCAGCCTACACTGGATGGCCAGGGCACTCTTCATGTCCCACTTCCAGGGCCCGTCTGTTTCCTAAGTGTCCCTCTCTCCCTAGGGAGTCAAAGCCTACCTCCCCACACTCAGGCCTCTGAGGATGTTGGCCTCTACAATGGTTATGGGCTCACCTGCCACCCCAGGTAGAACATGGGTGCCCCACCTGCCACCCTCCCGGGTACCACGGGTACCCCACCTGCCATCTCAGGCACAACATGGGTATTCTGTGATTTCCCATCTTACGCTGCTATATCCAGGACCTGGAAAACCTACATTTTTCCAAAGGGCTGCATACCACCCATTATGTGCACATACCATAGTTTATTTAATGACTCCCCCACTGATGGGCACTGGGGGTGTCCAGTCTTTCCATTACAAACAATGTTGCCGTATCATCACACAGATGTGAACTCCCAGGACTTTGGTGGGCTTTTTTTGACCATGAGTGGTAGAAACATGGTTCCACCAGCCAAACGTGTGCACACACCATGCTGCAACTGCTGGGCCACCTGTCTGTCCTCCCAACAGGACACAAGCTTCATGGGGGCAGGGACTGTCCTCATTCCCCATCGTGGGCTCAATGGCACATGACAGGTGCTTGATTAATAAACACTTTGGAAGGACTGAGTACCATGGTTACAGCACAGGCGTACCAGCTCCCCAGAGCCACAGTGCCATGCTTTGCAAGTATTTACTGTAGATGATCCCACTCACACTCTCAAAACAGGCATTCAGCATCAAGCACAGCTAGGCTCCCACTCTCCACTGTGGAGCGAAGGCCGAGGCGAGGTTAGGAAGACGGCGCGGCTCCTGCGGTCTAGCTCTTCCAGCTGGACTAGCCAAGGGGTTTCACTGCTTCTCTAGGGGGCGGGTGAAGGGCTGGATTTAAAGAAGCCGCCCAGAAGATATAAATCTGGTGTCAGAGGCATTTTGGGCAGCCTGAGGCTGATGACTGAGTGGGTGAAGCAGGAACCACCTTGGCTGGCTGCCTGGTGAGGGAGGGGTCAGGCCAACAAGCAGGGCCCCAGCAGGGCTTGTGGACTTGCCAGCTGAGGCCCTACTCTGGGCTGCCCTAAGGAGGGGTTTAGCTGTGAACCAGCCCCAGGCTCTGCTCCTGGACCTCCACTGCTTAAAGACACAGCCTCTGATCTGTCAGGAAGTGGGATATCAAATCAGGGTGGATGTGGGCCTGGGGTTTTTGGATGGCTTGTCCCCAAAGCACCATCTAGTTCTAAACCACACCCACAAGAGCCCGTGGGTCCCACTCTGGCTCCTGCACGCAAACTTGAGCCACTGCTGCCTCTTCCAGGCTGGCCTCCCAGCAGCACCAGCTGCTCCATCAATGCACTGTATCACACCCCTGAAAGAGGGTACCACCCTTCTTTACACAGGGTAAATCCAGAATGCTTGCCTGGCTGTGAAGGTGCATTGCAGGTACCACCTCTTCTCCTGCCCAGGGGAACAGGGCACCGTGTAGTCCCACAGCCTGGATGTGGCTGGATAGGGGAAGGATCCCAGTAGGAAGTGACAGCGGCACCAACATGGGGAGGGCTGATGCATCTGCAGCAGTGCAGGGACACGAGGTCCTGCTGGGGCACCAGTTCAGCCAAGGACCTACTTGTGTGCCTTTCCAGGCCCCTCAGAAGCCAGCTGGAGCCTAGCCCCCTCATCCACAGTCTCAGGGCCACAGGCGCCCATCACTCAGGATGTCTGCCTTCCCCTTTCAAGGTGCGCCTCCCAGAACCTGCTGGGGATGCTGGCCTGTCCACAGCCGCACCCTCCTGGACCGATTCTGTACTGGATTCTGCAGTAGCTGCTCCATTTAGCTCTGTACTCGTCAGCACTGTGGGCAGGAAGCAGAGAGCTCCAGGTGGGCATCAGCCCCTCCCATCTCCTTCAGTGCTGGGTGTTCTTGGTGTAGATGGAGGCTGGTTCACAATCTCAGTGGGTGAAAGACGCCAGGCACACAGGGCAGGGCCGGTGGAAGACAGCCAGGCAGGCTGGCGCTTCTCGTGGGAACTGGCCATTGTGGCCCCGTCCCTCCTACCCTGACCCAAGTGTTGGGCCCTGTTAGGCCTGTGTCCCTTGTGGGTGGGGAGGGGAGGTGAAATCTAGAAATCAGGACTGTGTTCACTGTGCAGGGAGAAAGGAGGGAGGTTGTTTGGAAGATGGGGACTGTGGGTCCCGGGGTGAGCCAGGGGATAGGCTCCTTCTCCCATGGAGGGAGTGGGGACACAGGAGAGGGAGTCAGTCGCCAGTCTAGGGAAGTGAGGTCCTAGCAAGGGTGTGGGAAGAGCCTAGGTTTGAATTCCCAGGCCCACTTCCAGACCCTGATTTTTAAAAATTCCCTGGAGCTACTGTAGGCCTGGCCAATTTGAAGCTGCTGGGTGGGGCAGGGAGACTGGCCAGAACGTCTCTTGAGAGGTCTGGAGGGGTCTGGGCAAAGGGAGAATAGAGTGGAGGTGTCTCGTGGAACTCTGTCTCTGCCCATTGCAGCCCAATGACTCTGGCAGACTCTGGTGGGAGGGAGGCAGCCGGCAGGACTGGGGAGGGGAGGGAGGGATTGGCCTCCCCTGCCAGCTGCTCGGCCCCGGCTTTATTGTGAGCAGGAGCAGCCGCAGCGACTCTCCACATGCTGGCCCTCCTGGGGGCTCAGTCCCCAGTAGGCTCCCCCAGGCTGAGCCCCAGCCCTAACACTGATGCTTGGCAGCGACCACACCTCAGGGGGCCCTTCTCAGGACTTGTGCTGGTGGCTCCTGGGGCCTTCTGGCTTTTTGGGCGGTGGGGCCGCTGTCCTCGGGGCATCCAGGGCCTGCCTCCGGATGAGCTCGGCGTATAGCCCGCCTTTCTTCAGGAGCTCTTCATGTGTCCCAGCCTGGAAGATGGGAGGGAAGGGCGGATGGTTGCTCCAAGGCATGCAGGCTTCAGAACCCTCAGAGAGCTGAGCCTCTCTATCAGCCATTGGGCCCATGGTCACTTAGGCCGGTGTCCCTTCTGGGGACACTCTGAAACCAATGCCCAATCTGAAAGGAACCGCCACTGGCATGCTGCATTAGTTACTGCCACTTCCTTACTTAGCTGAATTTTGGAAGAACATGATTCCCTCTGTCCCCCTTACAGAGCCCAAGGCTCCAACTCAGGATCCGTCTCCCTGCACGAGCCCCTCAGCCTTGGCTTGAATGAGTGGCTGTTAGCCAACGCCACACGGCCTCTGGGGTCCTACTCCTGACTCCCTGCACAGGTTCCTTGGCGCTGCTTCTCCTGCACCTGATACCCTGGGCAGCTAGCCCTGCTCCTTGCTCCCAGCACCATACTCTGAGTATGTTTCCTTTTTGTTTTTTGAGACAGGGTCTCATTCTGATGCCAGGCTGGAGCGCAATGGCACAATCATTGTTCACTGCAGCCTCAACCTCTGGGGCTCAAGTAATCCTCCCGCCTCCGCCTCCAGAGTAGCTGGGAGTACAGGTGCATGCCACCACATCCGGCTAATTTTTTTTTTTTGGTATTTTGTAGAGACAGGGTCCCGCTATGCTGCCCAGGCTAGCCTCAAGAGATCCTTCTGCCTTGGCTTCCCAAAGTGCTGGGATTACAGGCACCCGGCTAGTACTTTTCCTTTTGATCCTGGGAGCTGATGGTGCAATTATACTATCCCAGGGGACAGAAGAAGAAACTGAGGGCCTGAGAGGCCAGGGCTTGGCTGAATGCAGGAACTCCTGACTCTATATGGGACGCTGCTTCCAGAATATAGCCCCCAAGGCCCTGGGGCCAGGCCACAACTTCATATAACTCATTGCAGCATTGTGCCACTGTCCGTGATGAAGCCATCCTCAACCCACTGATCCACGCCCCCAGGACAACTAACCTCCCAGACACGGCCATCGGCCATGACGACAATGCAGTGGGCCCCACGGACAGTGCTGAGCCGGTGGGCAATTACCAGCACCGTGCGGCCTGCACTGGCCCGGTCCAGGGCCTCCTGTACAACCCGCTCGGACTCTGCATCCAGCGCGCTGGTAGCTTCATCCAGTATCAGCACCGTGGGCTGCTTGATAAGGGCTCGGGCGATGGCCAGGCGCTGCTTCTGGCCCCCAGACAGGGTAGTGCCCCGTTCACCTGGGAAGGGAGGGGCAGGGCAGGAGCCTGAAGCTGTGCACTTGAGGGTGGCCCACAAAGGGGCACAGGGTCCTTCCTGAACGCCCATCAAGATCCTCTAAGTGCCCCTCTCAGCACTGTGCACCCTCCTCCTGCCTCTGACCCCCACCCCGCACTGTGCATCCTCCTCCTGCCTCTGACCCCCCACCCCACACCGTGCACCCTCCTCCTGCCTCTGACCCCCACCCCGCACTGTGCACCCTCCTCCTGCCTCTGACCCCCCACCCCGCACTGTGCACCCTCGTCCTGCCTCTGACCCTCTACCCCGCACTGTGTACGCTCGTCCTGCCTCTGACCCTCCACCTTGCACTGTGCACCCTAGTCCTGCCTCTGACCCTCCACCCCACACTGTGCACCCTAGTCCTGTCTCTGACCCTCCACCCCGCACTGTGCACCCTAGTCCTGTCTCTGACCCTCCACCCCACACTGTGCACCCTAGTCCTGTCTCTGACCCTCCACCCCGCACTGTGCACCCTAGTCCTGTCTCTGACCCCCACCCCGCACTGTGCACCCTCCTCCTGCCTCTGACCCCCCACCCCACACTGTGTACACTCCTCCTCTGGGTTCCCCCTGCACTGGCTCATCCCACCTCTGGGTCCCTCAGCCACTGTGCACACTTGCCCTGCCTCTGAGGGTGGTGTGACACCGCCAGCAGGGCTTGGTGCACTCCAAGGGAGTTGCCAAATGCCCCTCCCCAGCCATGGCAGTGCCTCAGGCCAGGATGACCCACACCCTGCCCTGTGCCTGCAGTTCCAAGCCACCTTCCCAGCCTCCCGGGTCTCTGTGGCTGTGGGGAACATCCAGCACCCAAACATGGGCTCTGGGGTCCAGTGACTCCAGGGAGGTGGGATTCGAAGCCCACAGAGGACAGCACAAGTGGCAGCCTGGGAGCCAAAAAGAACCTCAAGGTGACAGCAGGGTGACAGGTCAGTAAGGACGCAGCCCCAAGAAGGCCCAAATGAGCAGAAAGTACTAGGATCAGAGACACAAGGAAAGTGCCACCCAAAAGAGATGTGGGAGAGCACCCAGTGAGGACAGCTGGCATCTGGACAGTGTATCAACACGGCTGGAGGAGCCATCTAGAACACGATGGCTGGGCTGGGGACACTGGCCCCACAGCTCAGAAGGCTGGACTCAGACTGACCAGAGTTGAGAAGCCCAGGTATCCCTGTATCCTGAGAAGTGCTGAAACACTGTGCAACAGAGCCAAGACACTGGCCGAGAAACATGGCCCCGAAGGCTGGAAAAAGACCTGGGAGCTCCGCACGTCAAGCTGCAAGGTGCACGCCCTGCAGTGCCAGGCTGCGTGTTCCTAGTTCAGAACCACCAGAGCCCTCTCCTGGGGCCCATCCAGTCACCCCGATTCTAATGAGAAACGACTTTAGAGATGAAAAGCACAGGAAGGAAACAGGAGCCAGAGGGGGATGGATGGTGGAGAGGAGGCAGCCCCCCATTTCTTCTGTTCAGTCTGGGGAAGTGGCGGCCTTTTAGACTCGGTGAGGACTCCAAACACCATGCATCACTGTGTCCCTGGCCAGGAGCCTGTCATATGCCCTCTGTCGCATTCTCCAGCTCCTCCTAGAGCCCGTCCTGTCTCTGCAGCCTGCCTGGTCTGCTGGTTCTGAACCACACTGGCCTGGACTCCCCTGTCCCCACACAACGACTCTGTCCCCTTTGGCTGTGGTTCTCGTCTTCCCTGACACAACTGTCTTTCTCCCCAGCTGTCCCTGCTGCCCTCAGTCCCACTGGGCTGCTCACTGCTCCTGTGGAATCCTGTGTCCCAGTGCCTCACCACCTGGTTCCCGGCAGACCCGAGCACCCACCGACGACCGTGTTGTAGCCCTCGGGGAAGCTGGTGATGAACTCGTGAGCATTCGCTTCCCGGGCGGCTGTGTACACCTCTTCATCGGAAGCTTCCAGCTTCCCAAAGCGGATGTTTTCCATGATGGTCGTCCCAAACAGGACGGGCTCCTGTGGGTGAGGGGTTATGGAGACAGAGTCCATAGAAACATTCTCTTTGCCCCAGAAACTGGAGGGGCCACCATACACAATGGGACAGTCTATCTGGTGGATTAGATTAGGATCTCTTGAAGAATCAGACGTTCAAAGTCAGAGGTGAAGTGAGGATGCAGAGTGGCCCCCAAAAGGGAAGGACAGTTCGACTTCCTACCAAGGGCCCAGAATCCCTCCCCAGGAGTGGGAGTGGGAGGAGCTGGCAGGGCAGGGCGCTGGGAGTTGGGGGCTTGCATTTGCCTTTCTTCTGCACAGGCACTCTCCCTGGCGGACAGCAGGCATGCCCTCTTCATTCACGGCCCTCAAAGGGAAGGGTGGACCCTCGCTGGGCAGTGCCACCTCAAGCAGAGGGAGAACGGCTGCAGCTCAGCACCTCCACTATAGGCTTCTCTAGACCTGGATGCTATGGGATTTGCAGAGAATCTGAGGGATTCCCCATCTGTGTAGACTGCTGTAAATGCGGACAAAGCGTCCCTGCTCTGGGAGACCAGGCAGAGCTGTGGCTGCTCCCACGACAGGGATGCCTCACCCAGACAACAGCTGAGGACATGTGAAGACGGCCAGGGTCTCCCGAGAGCAGCAAGGATGAGGGTGGGAAAGAAAGAAAAGGCACCTGAGGACTAAGGGGGCAGGGCCCAGGGGAGGACGGGCAGTGGGAGCCAAGGGCTGCCCATGTGGCCCCGCACCTGGCTGATGAAGCCGACAACCTGGCCCCGGAGCCAGGAGGGGTCAAGGGTGCGCAGGTCCCGCCCATCCAGCATCACCACGCCTGCCGTGGGGTCGTAGAAGCGCTCCAGCAGGGAAGCCACGGTGGTCTTTCCTGGGGAATTGGGTTGAGAGGGAGGGAGGCCAGGGATTCTAGGGATTGTCCCAGGAAAGAAGGCCCCTTGTGGCAGTGGAGGAAGGGACCCCACCGGGGGCTCACTGCTCCCGGCCTTGCTCTGAGTGGCTGCTAGAGAAGAGTCAGAGGGTGAAGAGGTGGTGGGCTCCCCTTACCTCCGCCAGACTGGCCCACGAGGGCCACGATCTTGCCAGGGGGC
Organism: Homo sapiens; assembly: GCF_000001405.40. Classification (NCBI taxonomy): domain Eukaryota; kingdom Metazoa; phylum Chordata; class Mammalia; order Primates; family Hominidae; genus Homo; species Homo sapiens. Next base: position 151,040,878 of record NC_000007.14, on the reverse strand, counting down.
AGCGTCAGGGTGAAGTCTTTCAGCACCTCGAAGCCGGGGCGGCAGGGGTAGCTGGGAGGAGCCGAGAGACCCCCAGTCAGACCAGGCTCCCAGCCCTTGTTGCCCGGGTCCCTCCTGAAGTCTCCCTGTAGCCCTCTGAGAGGGCCTGTTTATGGGGGACATTAGTCCAGACCTCCACCCCCGAATCCACTCGCCTCATCCCCGGCCCAGGGACCCATCCCCACGCCTGCTCACCCGTGCTGACCTGAAGCAGACGTTCTGAAATGTAACGGAGCCACGCAGCTGCTCTTTGGGGACGCAGCAGCCCCCAGACAGTGGGATGCAGGGGTTCAGGGCCATGTACTCAAAGACCCGGGCACCTGCACTCAGCCCCCGGACCACCTGTGGGAGGGGATCCAAAGTCCGCAGGGAGGCAGGAGTAGGGGTGACAACAGCATCTCCAGGGAGTGGCCATGGCTCTGGGCTGGGGTCTCCCCAGCTCCTCTGCCCGCCCACACCCAGTCAATAGGCAGCTCCCACAGCGGCACACACGGCACAAACTCCACACCCCAGGCCCTCCACCCTACCGGCCACTCACCTGCCCAAACAGGACAGAGAGGTTGGCCATGGACCTGTCAGAAAAAGGAGAGAGGGGTGGAATAGATGGGAACAAGAAGAGCCAGAGGAGGGGAAGGAAGCCACGGTGGGGCGGGGGAGCAAGGAAGCAGGTGGCCTGTGGCCAAATGCAGAGACTGCTCCTGCACCATGGGGGCGTAGAGCCCTGGGACGTAGCAACACCAGATCGCTGAGCCCTGGCTCCCTCCTTGGCCAGATGAGGATGACAGCTGTCCCTCAGCTCAGCCCAAGCCCCTGGGAGGGGGTGCTCCACGAGGAAATGGAAGTGAAGGCACAGGCCTCTGTGGGTGTCCTCCAGTGCCCTGGCCTGTGGTCTGCAGGGTGAGGCCTGTGCACACATGCAGCGGTGATATCAGCCCACGAGGAAGGGAGCCCAGCTGACCCACGGACTCCCTGCTCGGCCCTGAGGATGCGGAGGCCGCCACCATGAACAGAGATCAAGGGTGCGTGGCTTAGAAGGGGAGAGCAGATCTAATGCTGCAGACTCTTGGGGAAGCAATGACTTTGGCAGACATTTAGGTGGAAGAAGTGATGTTAAATCTTTTTGGAGAAAGAAGAAAACAGAAGACACTGGGCCACAGGGGAACTCTCAGGAGACCCCAAAACAAAATTCCCTGAAAAAAATTTTTCTCATGAGCTTGCCCTGCAGATAAGTATACCCACAGTGTTATCTGTCTAGACAGTGGGTGGCCTCCTTCGTCCCGGCAGGGCCGGGGTAGGGCTGGCCGGCTGCCAGGAGGCTGAGGAGGAAGGTGAGTCACTGGTCCCTGACTGGCCTGGCTGACCTGTGACAGTGTGTGTATGCCTGGTCCCCTCCTAAGTAAGAGGAAAGACTGACTCCCCAGCAACCCTTCAGCTGCAGACTCACTTCTTCCAGCACTAGGGTGGGGGTGAGTGGGAGGAGCCTCGAAACCCAAAAGGAAAAGGTCCCAGTGGACTCAGTGCAGTCAGCACTTGCTAAAGGCAGCCGGGGGAGGCACCAGGCAGGAAGGAGCCAGCCCAGCCAGCTATCTGTTGATGAGCAGGGGCACATTCTCCACCAGAGATCTGGAAGACATTAGGGCCTGGCAAAGGGGCTGGGCAGCAACTGAAATTCAAAATGCACATGACTCATTGGAGTGTGATGACCCTGCTCTCAGGGGCCGTGGGCTGTAGGCTACGGGCCTGTTCCCAGGTGGAGCCTGGCCCTGATTCTGATGAGGCGGCTGGGCCCCACTTGCTGTCTGTCTGGGCACCTCCCCATCTCCATCAGGAGTACTCAGGATGGGCTCATAGGTTAGGCTGCCTGAGGTAGGCCGGGCCATCCTGCTCCCCTCTCTCTGCTAGACCCCAGTGCCAATGCATGGGCCCTTGGCTTAGCTGGCAGGACCCTGTGGGAAACACATCAGCTGCTTTATGCAACAAATCCAAACCCCCAAGATGAGTGGGGAAGAATCTCCACATAGGCAGCGCTAGAAGGACCTCCAAGAGGATGGGTCTAGGGCCTGTGGCTGTGGGAGCAGCCAGCGAAACAGCACAGACAAGCCCCTGGGGGTTCTTGTGTGTGTCATAAAGCTGCTGGATGGCCAAGCAGTACGGTGGGAGGTAAAGTCAGAGTCTCAGGCCCTAAAGGGGAAGTGGGGGTCCCGAAGCGGGAGGGTTGGGGCTGGACAGTGCAGCCACCCTCCCCACAGGGAGACTGTCCCACCACTGCCCACCACAGAGGGCTAAGGGGTGATTTTATTAAGGGAGCCACTGGGCTTCTTTTTTTTTTTTTGAGACGGAGTCTTGCTGTTGCCAGGCTGGGGTGCAGTGGCGCAATCTCAGGTCACTGCAACCTCTGCCTACCAGGTTCAAGCGATTCTCTTGCCTCAGCCTCCCGAGTAGCTGGGACTACCACCATGCCCAGCTAATTTTTGTATTTTTAGTAGAGACGGGGTTTCACCATGTTGGCCAGGATGGTCTCGATCTCTTAACTTCACGATCCACCCACCTCGGCCTCCCAAAGTGCTGGGATTACAGGTGTGCGCCACCGCACCCAGCCGCCACTGGGCTTCTTATGGGCCCTCAGGACTAAAACGACCGTCCCATTCAGAGAGGCCAAAACTCTGGTCAAGGGAAGTGGGTCAGCGCTGAGCAGGGCAGGCAGTGGTGGAGGCAGCCCCCCAAGACCCCATCTCTATCACAGTGAGAGCATCTGAACTCCAAAGCCACGACAGAACAGCTCCCAGCCCCCCAAGACCCCATCTCTATCACAGTGAGAGCATCTGAATTCCAAAGCCACGACAGAACAGCTCCTTGGGCTGGAGGAGGGCGAGGCTGCCAAGGAGGCCTGAGCCCGGGACCAGAAAGGGTCTGAAGGTGCTCAGATTAGGGAGCACGAGCAGAAACGGGGCACGCGAGGGTGTCCATGCAGCTGCGGAAATGGGAGGAACGTCTCTGTGGAATGTCAGGTTTGGGGCTGAAAATGGGAGCCTGTCTCCGTCCGCCTCCCGCTTCCTGGGACAGTACACCCTGCAGTGAGGGGTTCTGATCCGGCGGACACACACGCAGGGGTGCACCATGCAGCAGGGCGAGGACACATGCCTCAGTAGAATGGGGTGGGGGCCCCGGTGGAAGAGCAGGGGGGTCGTGGGGGGAGGGATGGGGTGGCAGAGGTGATGCACGGTTCGTGGAGACGGGTCTTCACCCTTTGATGATCTGTTACAGCATATTTACTATCTCATTATTTACCATAACATATTTATGTAGAACTGCTTGTGTTTAGCTTGGAAAGAGATAGGAGGGGGGAGGCCCGCCTTGAGCTGTCTGGTGATCAGCTCTGGTCATCCCAGAGGCTCAGCTGAGCGGGTGGTTTTGGACCAACGCAAAGCAATAAGCTATAAGGGTGGGGTGTGTGGGGACAGGGGTCAGCTTGTCATCCCTGGAAGTGGCAGGCATGGGGAAGGGCAGCTCACACAGCCTGTCAAGGATGGTCCTTCCATGCATGGAATGTCACAGCCTGCAGCGGAAGGGAATTCGGACAGGGTGCAACACGGAGGAAGCTGAGGACACAATGTGGAGTGACAAAACGCAGTCACAAAAGGACATAGTCTGACTCCACTTAGAGGACGTCCCTAGAGTTGTCAAATCATAAGGACAGAAAGTGGAATGGTGGGTGCCAGGGGCTGGGGGAGGGCAAATGGGGATTCCCATGTCATGGGGATAGTTTCCGCTCTGCCAGGTAAGAGTTCTGGAGGCGGACGGTGACAACAGCCGCACAGCAATGTGAGTGCACCCACTGCCCATGAGCTGCACACTTCAAAATGGTTAAAATGCTGTATTTTATGTTTTGTGTACTTTACCACAGTTGAAACAAATTTTTAAAAAGCCTGTCAAGGAAACTTCTGGGTCCTTTGGAAGGCTGAAGATGACAAGCACCTGCCTGCTGCAGCGCCACTGCCCCAGCCAGGAGGGTTGTTATGGGCCCTGAGGGGCTCTCTCTCCCCACCCTATGCATCCCTGGGGAAGCTGGGCAGGCCTGGAGCTGCACAGCAGTCGGCCCCCAGAGAAGGCTGGCACCCGTGTCCCCTAACCCAGCAGGGCTCTGGAGGGCGGCAGGGGGCTCTGTAGCAATGGGAACGGCCCCCACTTACCTTTGCACTGTCTGGGAGGCCACCAGGAAGGACATGAGGTCTCCCCCTGTCAGCTGCTGTCCGGCCACAAGGGAGCCCCCAATAAATAGGGTACCCAAGACCATGCCTGCAGGAGAGGGGAAGTGAGGGAGGACGAAGCCAGGGCAGAGGAAACAGCCCTGGGCCTGCTCTGCCACTGCTGACTGGGAGAGTCAGGTGAGGCGCATGACTGGTCCCAGCGTTGGCTTCCTCCTCGGAAGAGCAAGTTGGGGTGGGCACGCCTCCATGGCCTCCTTGAGGGTGGCCCTGTAGCGTTCCACATGGAGTCCCATAGCTGGGTTGGGACATCGGCACCCTCCCTTTACCTGCAAGAGTTAGCAGCTGGCCCGAGGCGAATGCAGGCAGCCAGCAGATGAAGGGAGGGCCTTTGCCTGCCTTGGCTGCTCCCAGCTCCTCCCCAGCCCACAAGCGCCCCTCCAGCCCCCAAATGGCTCACTCACAGTTGAAGGCGATGTTGGAAAGCCCTTGGAACAAGGCGATGCCGCGGCCCAGCTCCTCTGCCCGGCAGCGGCAGGCTTCCAGCTCTGCCCCATAGCGCCTGGTGAGAGAGACCAGTGCATTCAGGAGGCAGCTGGGCTGGCACGAAGGGTTGGCAGGGTGTGGGGGGCATCTCTGCTTTGTGCTCCGCCCTCCCAGGACTCACTCCTCTTCCCGTTGCTCCATGGCGAAGGCACGCACAGTCCGCACATTGCCCAGGGCCTCGTCTGCTACGCCCATTGCCCTGGCGATCTGCAAGGAGTCCAGGAAACAGGACAAGGAGTCCAGAAAACAGGACAAGGAGTCCAGGATGGGGACAGGGAGGAGTTCCGGGGAGTGGAAAGAGAAACGGTGTGGGGAGGGTGAAGAGGATGGCCAGGAATGCCGGTACCTGCTCCTGACACTGGCGAGACAATTTTCGGAGGCCTGAGCCCATCAGGGTGCCCACTCCCATCAGGGCTGGTGTGGCCACCATCAGCAGCAGCGTGAGGCGTGTCGACAGCATGGACAGGGACACCAGGCAGCCTGCCACCTGGGTGCAGCTTCGCAGCCCCTAGGGAGTGGGAGGGAAGGCGGGAGGCTACGGCGTCCGCACCATGACAGGAAGGACTTTTCCAAGGGTCAGCTGACTGTAGCTCTGCACTCCCACGGCCAAGGCCCAGGTCTTGGCCCCTGGGAGGCCCAGTGGCAGTCCACCGGTCACAGTACGTAACCCTAACTCGGCCAGTTGGGGTGCGAGCAGCAGGCCTGAGGGGGCCGAGCGAGAATGCTATGAACTGTGGCATCCTTCCCCTAGACAAATCCCAGCTTGCTTCTCTTTCTGTTCTAGGAACTGAACAAAGAGAACTGCATGGGGGTACACCAGTGACTGCCTAGGCCAGTGTGTGGCATGATCCAGCAGTCAGAGTCGGTGTGGGCGGATAAGGGGAGGGCATCTGTGTTCGGTAGGCCACTGCACATGCTCAATGCTTGTCAGCAATCCAGGCACTCTGGGGACAAGGCAGGCGAAGTGATTTTGCTCTTGCCAGGAAAGGCTCTTGTCTGAGTGCTTGGGAAGGCTTTCCAGGGAAGATTCGGTTTCAGAGCAGTGGAGAAGCAGCCTGTCCTGACCTTGGACACTGCCTCTACACTTTCCTTCCATGAACTTCCATGGTCCCTCACCCATGCCCTCACAGGCAGTGGGTTTCTCGAGTCAGCATGCGCCTGTCAGCCCAACATCAGGGCTGGGGCGGGCAGGGCTGGCCTGGTGAATCCACATGGGAAAGTGTGTGTGTGGACGTGGTGGGGGCCACTGGGCCACTGACCTGGGAGATGACAAGCTTGAAGGATGACTTAAACTCCTGCACGTCAGTTGTCAAGCGGCTCACCAGCTGCCCTGTCTTATTGGCGTCAAAGAAGGTGATGTCTTGTCTGGCATGGGACAAGAACCAATAAGGAGGGCAGAAGAGGGAGACATTACTTCAGGATAAGGTCCTACCCCCAGACCCCTCAGGCCATCAGTCACCCCAACTCTGCACCCTGCGGCTGGCAGTACCGGAGCAGGGAGCTGAAGAGGGCCCTCCGCATGTCCACAGCCATGCGCTCGCCAACGTGGGACAGCAGCACCAGGTACCCGAAGGTCAGCAGTCCCTGCGAAAGAGCCCAGTGCACTCAGGGATGCCTCGGGTGGCTCCTCGGCGGTCCCCAGCCCCACTCCCGGCTGTACCTGGACACCATAGAGGATAAGCAGGTGGGTGCTGAGATTCTGGGACTCAGTCATGAAACTCCCTACGTGGTCCCTTGTGTACTTGGCCACGACCTCTACCAGCTGGCCCAGGAGCAGGGGGATCTGTACATTCACGAGTGCCGCACCCAAGGCCAGCTGGAATGGGGAGACAGAGGGCACAAATGTTTTAAGTGGGGGAGCCACTCCTCCCCATCCCCAGCCAGATCTTGGCCCTTCCTCTCCCACTACTGAGCACTGCGCTTGTCCAGGTTGTGGCTGGTCATGTGGACACATCAGTGCCTCTCAGAGGTTCAAACCCTGGCTTCCAGTCCCCACGGAACCCTGCCCACCCAGCCACCCAGTGTTGATGCTCCTGGCACCCCTGGACCCCTGGCTAGCCCTTGCTGCTCCCCTGAGCTCTCCCCTGAGAGGCAGCGAGGCAGGAATGCCATCCCTTTGCAGCTCTGGGTCCTGCCCTGTCCCCAGGATGGAGAAGTGGGGAAAGCCTCACCACGACGGCTACCCCCAGGACCAGCAGGTGGGGGTGCAGAAACTGCCAGAAGAGCTTCCAGTTAAAGCGAGACCCCACGACATGGGGTGTGGAGCTGGCAGGAGGGGCCTCTTCTGCCTCACACAGGGCCACAAGGCAGAGGTGGGGATGCTTACTCAGTACCATGGGGCCTAGCAGGGCTCCCCCAACCCAGCACCAGGCAGAGGGGCTCCATCTGGGAGCTAGGGGGGCTCGAGGGAGGTGGGCCCAGAGCTGGGACCGCAGGTGGGCCACGGCCCGGAGGAGGGAGGAGCTGCGGTAGCCATCAGAGTACCTGTAAGGAGAGAGAGGCATGGATGGCTTGAGGCTCCGACTGCCCTCCTGCTGACCAGCACACCCATGGGGCTCTGGCTGAGCCCTCTGGAAGGAGCACTTCCTCTTCTGTCAGGCCCTTGCCCCTGCCCTTCTCAGGGCTGTTCTGAAGCAACTTCAGTTTCTAAGACATGTCCATGGGCAAAGTCGCAGAGGAATGAGGCACTGAGCACAAAATCTAGTCTTAAAAGTCTTATTCCCCTGGGCAACTCTCAGGCAACACCCAGCCAGCCAGGGCCCTCGCAGCCTCGACTCCAGGCTCTGACAGAATGACAGCCTGAAGAACTGGATGGCACGTTAGATGGCCACACACTGCCTGGACAGGAAGGGGCCGGGGGTTTAAGGGACCACGGTGCAGAGAGGTGAGGAAAGAGAGCTGCTCCTGTGCCCGGCACTGGACTTGCTCACAGCAGCCACCAGGGCAGACACAGCCCCACCTCCTGGAGCTAATGGGCTACTTCCCTTGATCCTCACCTCCCTGGGAGGGAGGTGCCATTATTCTCACCTGACAGATGAAAAAAATCATGTGGAGCTAAGAGAGCTGAAATAACTTGTCCGCAGGCAGCAGAACTGGGACGAGCAGGGAACCAAGTCTGCAGTCTGACTCCAGCACCCAGGCTGGCTCTACTCTGCCAGTGTGCCATGTCTTCTGATGTCCCAGGCCCATTACCCTACCTCCCCTCCCTGGCCTGGGGCGCCATGACACACACTCCCTCTCCACAGCTGAAGGAGGAAACAGAGAAAAATAAGAATTCTAATAACTTATCTTGTCATCTTGAATAGGACAATTACCTTCTCTTTCCTTCAGCTGCCACATCTATAAAATGCTAACATCGATTCCACTATTCTAGACATTGTGTTTTTTTTTTTTTTGAGACAGAGTCTCGCTCCGTCACCCCGGCTGGAGTGAAGCGGCACAATCTCGGCTCACTGCAACCTCTGCCTCCCGGGTTCAAGAGATTCTCCTGCCTCAGCCTCCTGAGCAGCTGGGACTACAGGCACGAGCCACCACGCCCAGCTAATTTTTGTATTTTTAGTAGAGATGGGGTTTCGCTTTATTGGCCAGGCTGGTCTTGAACTCCTGACCTCATGATCCACCTGCCTCAGCCTCCCAAAGTGCTGGGATTCCAGGTATGAGCCACCGTGCCTGGCCTATTCTACACATTTTGAACCTACTGTGTGCAGGTGCTCTGCTCGGAGTTATGGAGTTACATGACAGCTGAAGTAACTCCCCTCACAGCAGTCATGCTTGAGTGCGGGAGACTCACAGTTAACTGGAAATCAGAGGCACAAAACAGCTTGAAGCCCTGCTCCTCCTTCTCCTCAGAGGGAGTCAGGAAAGGCCTTCTAGGTAAGGGGGAACCTGTGAGGGGGAACAGGCCAGGCACAGGTGGGGGTGGAGTGTAAAGGGGAGAGCTCTAGGCAGAGGAAAAGCAAGTGCAGGTATCTCCAGTAAGAAAGGATGGGAGAGAAATTTCAGGAATTGTATGGCTGAAGCCTGACCTACAAGAAGGGAAAAGAGACATGAGACTTGCGGGAGGGGCAGTTTTCTAGTTCTTATAAAGCTCCTGGACTTGGGGGGCAATAAGGGTCATGGTGATTTTTAGGCCGAGATGTGCCAAGATTAGGTTTTCATTTTAAAGATCGTAGCATGGCCGGGCGCAGTGGCTCACGCCTGTAATCCCAACACTTTGGGAGGCTGAGGCGGGTGGATCATTTGAGGCCAGGAGTTCTAGATCAACATGTTGAAACCTTGTCTCTACTAAAAATTAGCTGGATGTGGTGGTGTGTGCCTGTGGTCCCAGCTACTTGGGAGGCTGAGGCAGAGAATCACTTGAACCTGGGAGGAGGAGGTCACAGCGAGCCAAGATCGTGCTACCGTACTCCAGCCTGGACAACAGAGCAAGACTCTGTCTTGAAAAAAAAAAAAAAGATCATAGCAGAGGGGCATGGGCTGGAGGCAGACAGGACTGGTTGTAGGGAGCAGAAGTTATCCAGCCAGGAGAGGATGGTGAGATCTAGAAGATCTAGATAAGCTTACTGATGGGGAAAGGTTTAAAAAAAGAGTAGTGTGAGCTTTTCTCTTTACCATCATGGCCTTTCACATCCCTAGACCCTTCTAATTGCAGTCTTCATCTCATCCTTCCCCTGCTTTCAGGAAGGCCTGTGCCTTTTGCCTACATGAGGCCTTCTCCCACCCCATTCCAACTGCCAGGTTTTTATGTCTTGTTTTCCACTGTGTTCTTGTTTCTATTAGAAAGATAGAGACGCTTACTCTCCTTCTGCCTTGTGTAACTGTCCAGTTTTCCCATTACGCCATGTGTTTCTGAAAGGCAGGAAATTATATCTTAGACAGCACTGGCAGAACTCCGGTACATAATAGATGTTCCGCAAATGTTTATGCTTGTTGAGCACATGCATGCCCTCATTAGAGGTGCAGGACAATCTGACCTAACTACTACAGGGTTTTGCAAATGTTTAGACTTACTGTGGCCTACAGCAAGAAACATATCTTACTTGCAACCCAGTACAATGAACACATACATGCCACACAAAATGGAAATGCTTCACAAAATAACATTTTCTCTAATTCTTAACATGTATTCTGATTCTTTTCTTTTCTTTTCAAGACAGGGTCTCACTCTTTTGCCCCGGCTGGAGAGCAGTGGTGCTATGCTGGCTGACTGCAACCTCCACCTCCCAGGTTCAAGCGATTCTCCTGCCTCAGCCTCTCGAGTAGCTGGGACTACAGGCGCCCACCACCATGCCTGGTTAATTTTTGTATTTTTAGTACAGACAGGGCTTCACCATGTTGGCTAGGCTGGTCTTGAACTCCTGACCTCAAGTGATCTGCCTGCCCCGGCCCCTCAAAGTGCTGGGATTACAGGCGTGAGCCAACGCACCCGGCTAAGTTTTGTATGGGGTTTCACCATGTTGGCCGGGCTGGTCTTGAACTCCTGACCTCAAGTGATCTGCCTGCCTTGGCCCCCCAAAGTGCTGGGATTACAGGTGTGAGCCACTGTGCCTGGCCTACATTTACTTTTATTTATTTATTTGAGACGGAGTCTTGCTCTGTCATGCTGGAGCGCAATGGCACAATCTCGGCTCACTGCAACCTCTGCCTCCCAGGTTTGAGCAATTCTCCTGCCTCAGCCTCCCGAGTAGCTGGGACTACAGGTGCGTGCAACCACGCCTGGCTAATTTTTGTATTTTTAGCAGAGACGGGGTTTCACCACGTTGGCCAGGCTGGTCTTAAACTTCTGACCTCAGGTGATCGCCTGCCTTGGCCTCCCAAAGTGCTGGGATTACAGGCGTGAGCCACCGTGCCCAGCCTATATTTACTTTTAAATGGTCCTGACCAACTAAATGCATTTCATAATCTATTGAAAAATACTGACTAATGAACACATATATACTTGAATATTATTTTATGTCTTTCCTTGGGTTTCTCTCTGGTTTAAATAACATCAACACCCTTACTCTTTCCTAAGAACTGTTTTTAAACCTTTCAATAATTTAGCATGGTCTTTTTCCAGCTTCTTGCATTGTCTCCAAACTAAGACTCTAAGAAAGTCTTGGTCGTTGCCAAGAGCATGTGGATTACTTCCCAGTACCAAGACTTCCAGCTCCAGCTCGATCCAGCTCTTGCCCTCCATCAGTCAGATGGGCTTTCCAAATGACACAACTCCACATCCACCTGCCCTTGGGAATCTTCTATCTGTTTGGCCCCCAAGTAATTCACTCTAGGATTAGAAAGGATGGCCAGGTGAGGTGGCTCATGCCTGTAATCCCAGCACTTTGGGAGGCCGAGGCAGGCAGATCACCCGAGGTCAGGAGTTGAAGACCAGTCTGCCCACCAATATGATGAAACCCCGTCTCTACTAAAAATACAAACATTAGCCGGGTGTGGTGCACATCTGTAATCCCAGCTACTTGGGTGGCTGAAGCATGAGAATTGCTTGAACCCAGGAGGCAGAGGTTGCAGTCAGTCGAGACCATGCCACTGCACTCCAGCCTGGGTGACAGAGCGAGACTCTGTCTCAAAAAAAAAAAAAAAAGAAAAGAAAAGAAAAGAAAAGAAAAGAAAAAAAAAGGAATCAGTCCCTTCTCATAAAGCATTTACATTCGAGTTGTAGTTTCAGGGTCCTTGTTTGTTTCCCATCTGTCTGTCTGTCTGTCTCTCTCTCTCGACCAACCTGTGTAGAGTGTTTTGCGAAAAACACACATGTACAAGTTACTAGATTGACTCTTTTTTTTTTTTTTCTGAGGCAGAGTCTCACTCTATCACCCGGGCTGGAGTGCAGTGGCCATGATCTCAGCTCACTGCAACCTCCGCCTCCCGGGTTGAAGCGATTCTCCTGCCCCAGCCTTCCAAGTAGTTGGAATTACAGGCGCGTGCCACCAATCACGGCAAATTTTTGTATTTTTTAGTAGAGACGAGGTTTTGCCATGTTGGCCAGGCTGGTCTCGAACTCCTGGCCTTCCAAAGTGCTGGGATTACAGGAGCGAGCCACCGCGCCCGGCCTATTAGATTGGCTCTTTATCCCTGCTGAACATCTCTAGTTCTTCTTCGACTCACTTTGAATCCTGGAAGCACCACTACATTAAATGTCTCTTCATACTAATAAGAATTTTCGTCCAAATCGCGCAATCACCTCCAGGGCCAGGAAAGGGGACCCCCGGTCGGGAGTGCGGACTGGGCGTGGTCACTGACCCCGAGCGTCCCCTCCTTCTGGCTGACACGCGGCTGCAGACGCAGGAGCCTCCTGCTGGCGACTGGAGTGTCACTATAAATAATTGAGGCCAACACCCGCGGAGTGACATTCCACCCCGGTAGGCCTGGCCTACAGCTCCCAGCAAGCCTCGCGCAAGCTCGTGGACTCCATCTCCCGGCGGGCCGGCACTGCCCTGCCGGGCGGTCAATGGCCCGCTCTGAGTAGGTTTTTCCGTTTTTACCTGACAGCTGAGAATGTCTGGAAGCGGAGGGGCGGTAGCAGCCTGCCTGGGAATGGGCCACCCCGAATCCCGACCCGAAATAAATGCACCAGCATGCTGACGCGGTAAAACAGGAGCCGCCGGCAATAGCAGTTTCACCCTCATCCCACTGAGGGCTCTATGTTGGCTCCCGCCCCCATCCCGACAACCCCCTCGCGCCTTGGCGGTGATTGGTGAAAAGACACATCAATCTCACTTCAAGCTGTGATTGGAGGATATGTTGTCAGCCCCCTCCTTTTGGAACTGTGATTGGAGGGAATCGCCTATCCGCCCGCCCCCTGCTCTGGGCGGAGCCGAGCAGGAAGTGGGCCTGGCTTTTGCCAGGTGCTCCTGTGGGCTCCGGGTGACGTCCAAAGGGTGTGGCCCGACTGGCCCTCCAAGCTATGGAGTATCCATAGTAACGCGTCAGCCGCCGACCTCGGGCCATTTTCCCAAGGCTCCAGGATCTCTAGATGTCCCGTCGTCTCAAGGGCGTGTAGAACGCGGGTTTTGGGGGAGGAATGAACAAAAATCGACTGGGAGTTTTTTCAAAACACGTACATATGCCCTGCCACCCACCCCGCTCTCCTAGGTGCGTCAGAACTGCTGGGACATCTGTCACGTGAAGGGGTGGGTTGCCCCTCCACACCTGTGGGCGTTTCTCATTAGGTGGAAGGAGAGACTTGGAAAAGAAAGAGACAGAGAGACAAAGTATAGAGAAAGAAAAATGGGCCCAGGAGACCGGAGTTCAGTTTACGGAAGATCCACGCCGGCACCAGCCTCTGAGTTCCCTTAGTATTTATTGATCATTATCGGGTATGGCAGGATAATAGGATAATAGTGGAGAGAAGGTCAGAAGGTAAACACGTGAACAAACGTCTCTGCATCGTAAACAAGGTAAAAAAAAAAATGCTGTGCTTTTGATGTGCATACACATAAACATCACAATGCCTTAAGAAGCAGTATTGCTGCCAGCCTGTCCCACCTCCAGCCCTAAGGCGGTTTTCCCCTATCTCAGTAGAGATAGGCTTTACACCGAGACATTTCCATTGCCCAGGGACGAGCAGGAGACAGAAGCCTTTCTTTTATCTCAACTGCAAAGAGGCATTCCTTCCTCTTTTACTAATCCTCCTCAGTACAGACCCTTTATGGGTGTCGGGCTGGGGGACGGTCAGGTCTTTCCCTTCCCACGAGGCCATATTTCATCACATGGGGAGAAACCTTGGACAATACCTAGCTTTCCTAGGCAGAGGTCCCTGCAGCCTTCCTCAGTGTTTTGTGTCTGGGTACTTGAGATTAGGGAGTGGTTTGAGATTAGGGAGTGGTGATGACTCTTAAGAAGCATGCTGCCTTCAAGAATTTGTTTAACAAAGCACACCGTGCACAGCCCTTAATCCATTTAACCCTGAGTTGACACAGCACATGTTTCAGGGAGCACAGGGTTGGGGGTAGGGTTACAGATCAACAGCATCTCAAGGCAGAAGAATTTTTCTTAGTACAGAACAAAATGGAGTCTCCTATGTCTACTTCTTTCTACACAGACACAGGAACAATCTGATCTCTCTTTCTTTTCCCCACAGTCACGTGTACTTGGGGAAGAACTCCCCCGGTGATTCTGACACTCTTGCCCTACGCCTCAGCCATTGAGAACTATTGGTATGGAGGGCCTGTAATTTATCAAGGCGCGGCCTCAGATCTGTCTGCCTCGCAGATACCTTCCTCACCCGGGTCAGAATGACTTGCCTCAGGCTCCTGCCAAAGAGTTTGCACCACTCGTTTCTTCCCTGTAATTACTTGTTTGCGTATTTGTCTCCCCACTGGGCTGCAGCTTCTTGGGTAGTGGCTCTGTTTTATTCATCTGTCCTCTTCCCTTCCAAATGCTTGGCAAGGAAAAGTGCCCTTTAAAATAAATCGACTTGAATTGGGAGTGGTGGTAGGGAGGCTGTCAATGAGAATGAATTCAGGGTGAAACTAGGTAGGACAATGTCCCAGGATTAGTTTGGGGTTGAGCTGGGGAGCTCTTGGTGTATGGGGGGGTCCTATTGTGACTATGGTGGAATAGCCACGATACTGAGTGACATTGGGCGAGTGAGGTGGGGGAGAGACTAGACAACACCCCACATAACCCATCTTGACAGATGTCTCAGAAAGATTATGGGAATTTCCTGGCCCCTCTGCAATGTGGGATTCCATTTTGCTACCTCTAGAAGGACAGGGTCTTGTTTTCATAGCTCTGCCTCCTACTCTGAGATAAAGGCATGCAAGACCTGAGCTACTACTACAATACCCCACACAGAAGGAGAAAATCAGGCACATCTGGATTCAAGTTTTGTGGGTGATTCCATGATTGCCTCCAGTGAACAATCTGGGAAGCACAGTGTCCATATCGCCATTTCAGGGGTACTGGCCCCAACATCAGCCCTTAGGCCTAAGCCCTAGAGACCTTGACACCTGGTGGCTGAGTCAGTATCTCAGTAATGGGCTTTAGAAGGAAACCTGGTGATTCAGGGCCTCAAGAATGGCGTTGGGCAAGCCACCAGACCAGCTGCCTGGGTCTCCTCCTCCTTGTTGAGGTGACAACAAGGAACTCAGTTCAGCTCCTCCCTGGGTATCCAAATTATCCTTCCAAGTCCCAGACTCACAGCTGTCCTCCCTTCTGATTCAGCCCTGATGCTTTTCAGGGGGTCCCAGAAGTGGGATCCGGACTTGAGAGAATGTCACAGTTGAAAATGATAAGGATGCAAACGGAATGGAACTTTCAGAGAACCCCAATTTTCTACTCTAAGTTCTCCAAACCAACTCTCAAATCCAAGATAGCTGCCTTTCCTTTCTTCACCTCCTCTTCTTAGTTTTCCCCAACTTGGCTGCAAAGTCAGCCTCCCCTCTTCTCTTCCTTAGCACCTCAGACCAATAAAACATGCAACCTTTTCTTATTCTTTTTAAAAAATTTATTTTTGACCAGGCGCAGTGGCTCACGCCTGTAATGCCAGCACTTTGGGAGGCCAAGGCGGGTGGATCACGAGGTCAGGAGTTCAAGACCAGCCTGGCCAACATGGTGAAACCCCATCTCTACTAAAAATACAAAAAATTAGCTGGGTGTGGTGGCACACACCTGTAGTCTCAGCTACTCAGGAGGCTGAAGCAGAAGAATCACTTGAACTTGGGAGGCGGAGGTTGCAGTGAGCCGAGATTGTGCCACTATACTCCAGTCTGGGTGACAGAGTGAGACTGCCTCAAAAAGAAAAAAAATTATTTTGTTTGTTTTTTAGATTTTGTAGAGATGGTGTTTCCCTAAGTTGCTCAGGCTGGTCTCGAACTCCTGGCCTCAAGTGATCCTCTCGCCCGGGCCTCCCAAAGTCCTGGGATTACGGGTGTAAGCCAACATGCCTGGCCCCTTTACTTCTTCTTTTCTGTTTTGGTCACAAAACATTTCTCTGTTGATCACTGTAGTGTGTGTGTGGAGGGAAGTGGGGGAGGTACACTCTTAAGAAATGAAATAGTTAACATCTTGGTCCTAAGATTTGTTGTAGAGATGGAGTCTTCTCATTCTGTTCCCCAGGCTGGTCTTGAACTCCTGGCCTCAAGCAATCCTCTTTCCTCGGCTTCCCAAAGTGCTGAGATTGATTACAAGTGTGAGGTACTGCGCCCTGCTACAATCCTTTAATAGGATGTTTTTGGGGGGGGTGGCAGGGGGCAGGATCTAGCTCACTGTAACCTATACTGTTCCAGTGTAACCTGCACCAAGCCATCCTCCCACCTCAGTCTCTTGAGTAGCTAGGAACACAAGCACACATCACCACACCTGGCTCTAACACGATTTTGCTTTTTGCTTTTGTCATTTTGGCTGCTGTTCTTTTTATCTTTCATTCATTCAAGGTCTGAAGATGGAGATAATAGGAATCTTCTCATCTCAATGTGCTCTTTGGCCCCTCCTCTTAAACTGATGCCCCTCTCAGGCCCTGAGGGATTTGGCCTCAGGTTGCCCTGGAAGGGGTGTGAGTGATCAGACAGGTGACTGAGAGCTGGGACGCCTGAGGCCTGCCTAGGCTGAGTCACCTAGTAATGTTGTTGTCATTGTTCCTGTTGAAGTCCCAGCTCAGTGTCACAGACCTTTGTGGAAGCAACAACAGCTCCCATCCTTCCAACCTTTCTGGAGAAGCCGTGGCCTGATGGTGAGCCGAATGGGCTGGGGGGGGAGAAGAAGGCGGCTGGGGCGGTGGGGAGATCTGGGGCCCGGATCGGTGCCCCTCCTCCCCATGCCACTGCCACCTCCTCCTCCTCCTTCATGCCGGGGACCTGGGGGAGGGAGGATCTCCATCTTCTCTCTGTCCCCTGCCCCTCATACAAGAAGCTCCCCCTCCTCATTTTCCCCTCCCACCGCAGGGCCCCCTTGCTCAGTGCTACAGGGGACAGGGGCTTCTCAGTCTTGCCACAGTGCTCTCCCTATCCCAGCCACCCCCCCAACACAGGCTCAACCTGCAATGACACCTGCCTCTGCATCTCCCTCCTGGGGATCCCACTCCACCCCACCCCTGGCCCCGGCAACCCCCACTCCCTCACAGCAGTGCCCCCAGGACTCTCCTGGGCTGCGGGTAGGCCCTTTGATCCCTGAACAGGATTATGAGCGGCTGGAGGACTGTGACCCTGAGGGGTCCCAAGACTCACCCATCCACGGGGAGGAGCAGCAACCCCTGCTTCATGTCCCTGAAGGGCTCCGAGGTATGTGTGTGGGTGTGGGTGGGAGAGGGTTAGTGGTGCCTGGGAGCTCCAGTACTTATCCCAGGCTGGGCCTCTGGCAGCGGGTTGAGAACGTGGAGAATTGATCACATGCCAGGGGCTGACACTCTCCCCTCTGTGCCCAGGCTCCTGGCATCACATCCAGAACCTGGACAGTTTCTTCACCAAGATATCCTTTGCGCTAGGCCTGCAGAGGTGGCATGGGAAGGTCCTCTTGGAGCTGGCACTGTTCTTGGCAGGGAGACTCCGTGAGGGCGTCATGGGTGGGAGACTTGTTGGGGCTGAGGGGAGGTGTCCTCAGGAGAGGCCCCCCGTGCCTCAGGCTTGTTCCTTGACACGCAGCCACATCTACAGCTACCACCAGCGGAATGGCTTTGCCTGCATCTTGCTGGAGGATGTCTTCCAGCTGGGGTGAGACGCTTAGCCCGGGCCCGGAACTCGGTCCCCTGGGCCCATGGCTTCCTTCTGTCATTTTGCTTCCTTAATTGTGCCAGCTGCTTCCATCCCATGCTTTCCCGAGCAGCCCAAGGGCTCAGCAGGGGCAGGGTCAGGGAGGATAACCATGGGCTGCTCTGGGGGCTGGGGCAGGAGCCCACCTGGCTGTCCCTGATCACTGCAGCATCCCGGCACCCCCCCTTCCTCCCGGCAGACAATTTATTTTCATTGTCACCTTCACAACCTTCCTCCTTCGATGCGTGGATTACAATGTTCTCTTTGCCAACCAACCAAGTAACCATACCAGACCTGGGCCGTTCCACAGCAAAGTGACCCTGTCAGATGCCATCCTACCCTCAGCCCAGTGTGCTGAGAGGTTAGTGACAACCTGGTGGGGCCCTGGGGGTGAAGCATGGGCAGTGGGTAGAGGAGTAGACGGGAGCCCCACTTTGTCCCGTCATCTAGATCAGCAGTTCTCAAAGCTTTTGGTCTTAGGACCAAAAATACACTTAATATACTTTAAGTTGTACTTAAGTGTATTAAGTTGTACTTAAAGTGTATTAAGTATATCTTTTTTTTTTTTTAAGACAGAGTTTCACTCTTGTTGCTCAGGCTGGAGTGCAATGGTGAGGTCTTGGCTCACTGCAACCTCCACCTCCCAGGTTCAAGCAATTCTCCTGCCTCAGCCTCCCCAGTAGCTGGGATTATAGGCGTGCACCACCACGTGTATTTTTAGTAGAGACAGGGTTTCACCATGTTGGCCAGGCTGGTCTGGAACTCCTGGCCTCAGGTGATCCACCCACTTTGGCCTCCCAAAGTGCTGGGATTACAGGTGTGAGCCACTGTGCCCGGCCTTTTAAGTGTATCTTAATTACAGTGCATTAAGTGTATCTTAATACACTTAAAATTGGTTGAGAATCCTGAAAAGCTTTTGTTTATGGGAGTCGTATCTATCCACATTTTACCTTATAAAAAATTAAAATTAGGCCGGGCATAGTGGTTCACACCTGTAATCCCAGCACTTTGGGAGGCTGAGGCAGGAGGATTGCTTGAAGCCAGAAGTTTGAGATCAGCCTGAGCAACAAAGTGAGACCACATCTCTATAAAAAATAAAAATTAGCTGGGCTTGGTGGTGCGTACCTGCAGTCCTAGCTAAGCCTAGTCAGGAGGCTAAGACAGTGACTGTCTCTGATCACTGCAGCATCCCTACACCCTCCTCCCTCCCAGCAGACGATTCATTTTCATTGTTGCCTTCACAACCTTCCTCCCTGAAGCATGGATTGCAATGTTCTCTTTGCCAACCAACCAAATAACTGTTCCAGACCTGGGCCGTTATTTGGCAGGGAGATAGGAGCTATGTTTCTACTGCTGCACTACAGCCTGGGTAACAGAGAGAGACCTTGTTTCAATAAAAAGGAAAAAAAAAAAAGAAGGAAATTGTAGCTGAGAACAACTTTAAAATGTAAGAGTGCGGCTGGGCGTGGTGGCTCACACCTGTAATCTCAGCACTTTGGGAGGCCGAGGCGGGCGGATCACAAGGTCAGGAGATCAAAACCATTCTGGCCAACATGGTGAAACCCTGTCTCTACTAAAATATACAAAAATTAGCCAGGTGTGGTGGCGGGCGCCTGTAGTCCCAGCTACCCTGGAGGCTGAGACAGGAGAATCATTTGAACCCGGGAGGTGGAGGTTGCAGTGAGCCAAGATTGCGCCACTGCACTCCAGCCTGGGCGACACAGCAAGACTCCATCTCAAAAAAAAAAAAAAAGAGTGTACAAGCACACATTTCATCAGCTGTCAGTGTGATGTGACATGTTCACGTGTCTTGTAGCCTCTGGAAAACTCCACTGTACTCTCAGAGTACAAGAATGAAAACATCAGAAAGCATTAGTATTATTTGGAAAAAGTTTGACTTTGCACATTTGTGAAGGCCACTTCAGCACCCACCCCCTGCCCCGGGCTCTACCTTGAGAGCTGCTGGTCTAGCTAGATCCCCCTCCTCATGATGGTTTTTCCTCACTCCCGAAGTCTGGTCTGCCTCTTTCTCAGGCGCCCACCTTTCTCCCCCACTGCCCGCCCAACCCCATACAGGATCCGCTCCAGCCCGCTGCTGGTCCTCCTCCTGGTCCTGGCTGCCGGCTTCTGGCTGGTCCAACTGCTTCGCTCAGTCTGCAACCTCTTCAGCTACTGGGACATCCAGGTGTTTTACAGGGAGGCCCTGCACATCCCCCCGGTGAGCTGGGTGGCTGTGTCTGTGCAGAGGGTGCCGTGAGAGGGTGGGCAGAGGAGAGGGGAAGAAGTGGGACTGTACAGGTGGAAGGGCCAACTGGAAAGAGGGCAGAAAGAGCGAGGTCTTATTGACACCTGCCCTAGGCCCAGAATAATGTCAGGAGGGGGCTACCACCACCTAGAGAGCATGGCCCTTACCCTAAGGGAGTTTAGTTTATTTAGATGGCTCATATAAGATGACATATAGTTACATGTTTGTGCTAAAAACATTGATTAGAGAAAAGAGAAAGGGCAGTTATCTGGCTTTTCAGAGCTGGAGGAATTTGGGTTGGGCTTCGGAAGGGCAGGACAGGAGGGGAGGGGAGCACATTCTAAGCCCCAGTGCAGGAAGGTGGGGAAAAGCCATGAGCTTTTGGAAGCTGCAGTGAGGAGATGGACCCATCAGCCTAAAACAGAGCCTTCAAAGCCATCCCCCGCATTGCAGGAAGCCACTGCATTGGCCTGTCACTGTCCACTGCTTATGCTCTGCCCTTTGTTTCCTCACCATCTTGAGTCTGCTCCTCCCTCCTCTGTATCTAAGTTCTTTCTTTGAGGCACAGCTTGAAAGTAGCCTTCTGCAGCTTGCTTCCCTTGCTCCCCTGGGAGGTCCGGAGCCCTCTGCACAGCCTTTATGTGCAGCAAGGGGAGAGGTCTTAGAAGGCCCCTGAGCAGAGGAGAGGGAGGAGGCCGGGGAAGCAGAGGTGGTGAGAGCGGAAGCTGGACCTCGGATTGGCTCTGGCGGGAGACTGCTCACCCGTCTCGTTCTCCTCCTCCCTTCTTTCCCCTCCTCCCCTGTTCCTTCCAGGGGAAGGGAAGGGAAGACACTGGGATGTACTGGAGAGGCCAGCCTGGGGGACTTGACTAACCTGGACTGGGAAAGCTGAGTGAAACTGGGCTGAAGTGAGGTTTGCAGCCTTCAAATGAGATCTGACAGTGCCCCACTGCCAGATGTGGACATAGCCCAGGTCCTGGGAAGGCTTCTGGTGACAGAGCCGAAGATGGCCTGGAGTCGGGTGGGGCTGGGAGTGTAAAGCATGCCCAGGCAGAAGGTGGGGAGGATTCTGTTCCAGAGTTGGTGGGTGCACTAGAAATGGGAAGGAGAGATTCTCCCACGAACTGCCAGACATTCTGGTTTTTTGTTTTTTTGTTTGTTTTGTTTCTTTTGAGACAGGGTCTGGGTCTTTCACCCAGGCTGGAGTGCAGTGCTGTGATATTGGCTCACTGCAGCCTCTGCTCCCCAGTAGCTGCAACCACAGGTGCACACCACCACGCCCTGCTATTTTTTGTATTTTTAGTAGAGACAGTGTCTCACCATGTTGCCCAGGCTGGTCTCGAGCTCCTAAGCTCAGACGATCTGCCTGCCTCAGCCTCCCAAAGTGCTGGGATTACAGGTGTGAGCCACCGCCCCTGGCCAGCCAGTCTGTTTTGTGTGTACAACTGAGGGGGCCTCAGGCCCTTAAGGAGCTGAGAAGCCAGGTCCAGCACCTGGAGGCGTCCCCAGGAAGTGCATGACTACTGGCCACATGAATGGCAGGGATGATGAACAGGGCAGTTTAGAAGAGGATGAAGGAAGTAGGGCGCGCCCTTGTTAGTGACAGGGTTAAGGGAGGGCAGAAAGAGAAAGGTGGGAGAGGGGGACGATGTAGCTTGGTCATGGCGAGTTTGTGATCGCAAACTCAGTTTGCGGGTTTTCAGGCCGCACACTTAGGGGTGTGGAGCTTGAGCATCACTGTGGAGAGGAATGGGGGGTCGCTGGCTCTCATCAGTGCCCCTTTCAGGAGGAGCTGAGCTCGGTTCCCTGGGCAGAGGTGCAGTCCCGCCTCTTGGCACTGCAGCGGAGCGGGGGCCTGTGCGTGCAGCCGCGGCCCCTGACGGAGCTGGACATCCACCACCGCATCCTGCGCTACACCAACTACCAGGTGGCGCTGGCCAACAAAGGCCTGCTGCCGGCCCGCTGCCCGCTGCCCTGGGGAGGCAGTGCGGCTTTCCTCAGCCGCGGCCTGGCGCTCAATGTCGACCTGCTGCTCTTCCGCGGTCCCTTCTCGCTCTTCCGCGGGGGCTGGGAGCTGCCGCACGCCTACAAGCGCAGCGACCAGCGGGGCGCCCTAGCAGCGCGCTGGGGGCGCACAGTGCTGCTGCTGGCCGCCCTGAACCTGGCGCTGAGCCCGCTGGTGCTGGCCTGGCAGGTTCTGCACGTCTTCTATAGCCACGTGGAGCTGCTGCGGCGCGAGCCTGGCGCGCTGGGGGCGCGCGGCTGGTCCCGCCTGGCGCGCTTGCAGCTGCGCCACTTCAACGAGCTGCCGCACGAGCTGCGCGCGCGCCTGGCCCGCGCCTACCGCCCCGCCGCCGCCTTCCTGCGCACCGCTGCGCCCCCCGCGCCCCTGCGCACGCTGCTGGCCCGCCAGCTCGTTTTCTTCGCGGGTGCACTCTTCGCCGCGCTGCTTGTGCTCACCGTCTACGACGAGGACGTGCTAGCCGTGGAGCACGTGCTCACCGCCATGACCGCGCTCGGGGTCACCGCCACCGTCGCCAGGTGCGACGGCAGATGCCCGGGGTGGTGGTGTGTGTTGGTTTCTCTGATCTGGGGCCATGTGAGGTTCCCCCCGAATCCTTACCTCTCCCACCACTGGGGCCCTCTAGCCCTACATCCCACCGCGCGTCCTCCTAATCGCAGGCCCCTTCCCCCCACGGATCCCGCCTTTCAGGTCTTTCATTCCGGAAGAGCAGTGCCAGGGTCGTGCGCCGCAGCTCCTGCTGCAGACAGCCCTGGCCCACATGCACTACCTCCCGGAGGAGCCCGGCCCCGGCGGCAGGGACCGCGCCTACCGGCAGATGGCGCAGCTGCTGCAGTACCGAGCGGTGAGGGTGGGCGCGACGGCGGGCTGAGGAGGAAGTTGTGGGGTCTGTCTGCGCGGAGGGTCTGTCTGCGCGGAGGGTCTGTCTGGGAGAGGGCATGAGACAAACGGACTATACCAGGAGTCTAGGGAGTGACTGGGTGGGGAGGCTTCTTGCCCTGGCGAGGGTCGCTGGGGACTGCTTGGTCCTGATAACGCGCGTGGGCCCCTCAGCGACCCCTGCTCAGCCTCACCGCTGCTTCCCCAGGTCTCCCTCCTGGAGGAGCTCCTGTCCCCGCTCCTCACCCCGCTGTTTCTGCTTTTCTGGTTCCGCCCTCGTGCCCTGGAGATTATCGACTTTTTTCATCACTTCACTGTGGATGTGGCTGGGGTTGGGGACATCTGTTCCTTTGCCCTTATGGATGTGAAGCGCCACGGACACCCTCAGGTCAGAGCCGTTCCCTGGCCCTGGGGGTTTGGGCTGGGTGGGAGTTCGCTTGCCTCTCGGGAGCAGACCTGAGTTCCAGCCCTGGCTCCATTGCTTGCTACCTGTGCCGTTGAGCGGGTCACTTCCCTTCCTGTGCTCTCGTGCCCTCGTCTGTCAGATGGCAACAATGGCAATGTGCTCTCCAGAGCACAGCCAAGGCCAGGCTTGTGAACACACAGATTATGTCTGTATAGCCTATGATGGAGTTGCTGGCACATAGTAACGTCAGTAAATGGGAGCAAAGACCACCTGGGGGTGAGGAATGGGCTTGGCCGGTGGGTGGGGCTGAGTAAGGACTGGTGCCTGGACCAAGGCTGTCAGGATCACCCTGGGCAAAGCACTGAGGCTCAGCCCTATCCCCGAGCTGGCAATCAGTCCAGGGGTGACGAATAGATGACAGGCCCAGGTTCTGCACTGCTGCTGTATTTTTGGGTGATGGTGAACAAGTCCCCATTGTGGTCTGTTTCCTTCACGTGGAAGATGGGGCAGTGTTTCCTGTCCCACCTGTTCCCATAAGGCTCAGTGTTCTTAGCACCTGAAAGACTGTCCTTGCTCACAGTGGCTCTCGGCGGGACAGACTGAGGCCTCGCTGTCTCAGCGTGCGGAGGACGGCAAGACTGAGCTTTCTTTGATGCGGTTCTCCCTGGCGCATCCACTCTGGCGCCCCCCAGGGCACAGCTCTAAGTTTCTTGGGCACCTCTGGGGCCGAGTACAACAAGATGCAGCTGCCTGGGGTGCCACCTCGGCTCGCGGCCCCTCCACCCCGGGGGTGCTCAGCAACTGCACCTCGCCCCTGGTGAGTCCCAAGCCTGGCCTCCCCTTCTGCCTTCACCCCCACAACTCCTCTCCAAACCCTTCCCCTCTAGGCTCACCTTAGGTAGTAACCTGCCTCACCAGCCCCCGCCCCCAGCCTGCTCTCCTGCCTTCTTTAGGCCTCTGCTTCCTCCCTACTCCGTTTCTGTCCTCTCTTCTGACTCCCTCTTTGGCTTTCCCTCTCCTCTTGCACCCAGCCTGAGGCCTTCCTGGCCAACCTCTTCGTGCACCCTCTCCTGCCTCCGAGAGATCTGAGCCCGACAGCCCCCTGTCCAGCTGCGGCCACAGCCAGCCTCCTTGCCTCCATTTCCCGAATTGCCCAGGACCCCAGGTGAGGAGTGGAGGCTGAGATGCAGGGGCATGTGGAGGGGGGTGGGCTGATCCTGTAGGAGTGGGGAGCTGGGGCGCTGAGGGGGGATTCAGAAGGGGAGTCCTCTGGGGTGTGGCGGGAGGAGGGCATGACTTTTGACCTGCTTCATGTTATGTTCCAGCTCTGTGTCCCCAGGAGGCACTGGGGGCCAGAAGCTGGCCCAGCTCCCAGAACTTGCTTCTGCCGAGATGAGTCTCCATGTCATCTACCTGCACCAGGTGAGTAGAGGGGTGCCCAAAGGAGAAATGTGGAGAGAAGGCAGGTGAACAACATGGAGACTGAGGTGGGGTGGAGTCTACGGAAGGGTCTAGCAGAGTGGCAGGAGGAGGCTGAAAAGCCCTCTGCCTCTAGCCCAGGTGCTTGGCCCTGCCCTCCTTGGGGTGCAGCCCTCATTCCTCCTCCTTTCCATGCAGCTTCACCAGCAGCAGCAGCAGCAGGAGCCGTGGGGTGAGGCTGCAGCCTCCATCCTGTCCAGGCCCTGCTCCAGCCCCTCACAGCCACCCTCGCCTGATGAGGAGAAGCCATCCTGGTCAAGTGACGGTGAGGAGGGTGGGGCCTGCAGGGGACAGAGCCTGGTGGACACTGGGCATCATGGAACTGCCCAGCTGATGGCCTTTTTCACCAGGCTCCAGTCCTGCCTCTAGCCCCAGACAACAGTGGGGAACCCAGAAGGCCCGGAATCTGTTCCCCGGAGGGTTTCAGGTGACCACAGACACCCAGAAGGAGCCTGACCGGGCCTCTTGCACTGACTGAGACGACTCCTCAGGGTCAGTATTGCCTCCTGTGAGGGGAGGGAGAAAGGACGGCATAGGTAGTTGGTTTGGAGTCCGACTTGAAGCGATGGGAGCAGTGGTGGGAATTTGGGGTGATGGGAGGTGGTCATCTCTGGAATCTAGACCCCTGGACTGCTTGCCAAGAGCCGTCTCCTCCCACAGGTACCCTGGCTTCGGCAGCCACAGGAGATTGGAGGGTGGAGTAGAAAAACACAAGGAGTCATTGTTAGAGGCCCCATAGATGACAGGCCCAGGTGCTTTAGTTGGGCAGGACCTGGGAGTCAGTGAGGAACTCGCCCCGAGAACAGAGAAAAGGTAGGCAAGGAGAGGAGATGCTGATGGCATCTGGAAACAAGTCTTAGAGATGGTCTGCACCCAGAGGGAATAAGGGGAGACATCCCCAACTGGAATGTGTCCTGGAGCAGCTGCCTGGGAAGAAGTCCTCGAGTTTCCTCAAGGTGGGGGACAGAGGTCAAGGATGAGGCCGAGCTAAATGGAAGGGCGACAGTGAGGCAGGTGGGCTTTAAGGCTGTGGATTCGTCATGCTGGCGGCTGCCAGCAGCACTTTCAGGTTCCTTGGGGCTTGTAGGGGATGGGGACTTGTCAGTGGAAAGACGGGAGGGATGATGTTTTTGGACTTCAGTACGGGTGTGATGTCCCAGGAAGTGGGTGTGGCTCCCCATCCTGTATGAAATAAGCAGTAAAGCTTGCTCATGGCTGTTGCACATCTCTGTGACTCTTGTTTCTGGCAGGCCCCACTCCTGGCAGCTGAGTGCTGCACCTGCCTTCTCGATCACGAGCCTGAGAACTGCACGGGGGAGCAGCCCAGACTGGCTGGAAACCATGTTTTCAGAGTGCAGGGTCAAGTGGCGTGTAGGACTCTGTCAAAAGAATGACCCCTTTCCCCACCACATACCCACAACTGCACAGGTTAAAACAGAAATCTTGTCATTTTATAATTGTAATCCACGCCGGGTGCAGTAGCTCACACCTGTAATCCCAGCACTTTGGGAGGCTGAGGCGGTTGGATCACGAGGTCAGGAGTTCAAGACCAGCCTGGCCAAGATGGTGAAACCCCGTCTTTACTAAAAATACAAAACCTAGCCGGGCGCGGTGGCAGGCACCTGTAATCCCAACTACTTGGGAGGCTGAGGCAGGAGAATCACTTGAACTTGTGGGGTGGAGGTTGCAGTGAGCTGAGATCACGCCACTGCACTCCAGCCCGGGCGGCAGAGGGAGACTCCGTTTCAAAAAAAAAAAAACAAAAAAAAAAAACTGTAATCCACATGAGCTGGGGTAGGCACTTTAGTAGTTCTCCTAACATCTGGCACAGTCCCTTATGGTAAATCTTCAATAATAAATACTTGATTTAGAGATTAGACTTTACAGGTAAGATACTCCTGAGAGAGGCAAGAGGAATCTAACATTCGACTAAGAAACAGGAAGCGGGTGGCAGTAGGCCCTGGGGTACCGCTGCTGGGAGGGGCCTTCCAGATTAAGGCGGACCCAGGCCCGAGGCAACAGGCCTAGAGAGGGAAAAGAGGCGTTTTGCTCCTTCCTGGAGGAATAATGCTGAATCCTTGCAGCCTCTGGACAGATGTGAGAAGGCACCACCTCAAGAGGGGAGGAGCGGGGCTGATCCTGGTCGGGCGGACCTGAGTCGGGCAGCCGCTCTCCCGGAACTGGAAGGGAAAGCCAGGCGGCTCTCAGGGGCTGTTGGTGTCTGAGCCGGGAGGGTCGAACGCCCAGGGCACTGCGCCCCGCAACTGACGCTCCTGCAAGGAAAAGCTCTGGGTGCGTATGCGGCTTGTCACCTCCTGGGTGCGCAGCGTGAGCCCGAAAATGTCTTCGTGGTAGCGTTGCTGATCCTGTCGGAAAAGAGCACAGTGGATCAGAACCCGACTCGGAGACCTTAGCAGGAACCCCGCACGCTCAGGCCCGGCCCGCCCCTCCGCACCCGCAGCACGCCGATGACGTCGCCGGCCTCGTCCAGCTCCATGTCGCCCTCCGTCGCCAGGATGCGCTGCACGGTCTGCAGGACGTTGGTTGCCATGGTAACATCGCCGCAGACAAACATGTGGCCCCGCTCGAGGCACAGCACGCGGTGCACCTCCGCAGCCAGCTCCGTCCTCAGGATGTCCTGCACGTAGGTCTGCGGGGCGGCGGGGTTAGGGCGGGCCCTGGTGGGGGTGGGCGCGGGGGCGCAGCCCGGGGCTGCTGGCTGGCCCTGGACGTGAAAGTCTCCGGAGCGGGCCTGGTGGGGCCTGCGTGCCCTGGGGCGGTGTCAACAGGGGCAGAGCCAAAGGGGCGGGGCAGGGGCGGGAGGAGGCGGGCCTAGAGGGGCCGGGGCACAAGGGTGGGCCAGAGTGTGCAGGGGTGGCTGAGTGGTCGTGGGAGGCCACGGGAGGGCCGTGGTTGGTGTGCCCCGCTGGAGAGCGCGAGTCCTCCCCTCTCTCCCTATCTTCAGGTTACCATTGCGCCCTCAGGGTCTCACACCTTGGGGTTGTCAGGTTCCCGGGAGAAGGCGGTGAGGACTCGGCCAAACACCCCGCGCTGCTGGGCGTTCTGCACCTCGTCGCGGTAGAGATGGTCAAGTTGGGAGCATCGGCAGCCGAACACCAAAGTCATGGGAGTGGGCTGCAGCCCTGCAAGCAACCCCGCGCTTGGGAAGGCTCTTCTCCGGGGCACAGTGCTAGTGGGGCCTCCCCACAGGCCACCGTCGCCCAGCCTGGCAGCCCAGCGTTTTGGGCTGAAACCACCATTACTTTGGCTGTTTCATCTCTAAGAGAGTGTAGAATGCTTTCACAGAGACCCTGCACAGCCCTGATTTACAGAGGGAAGGGAAGCGCGGGTGAGGTGGTGGCCCCTGGTGGAGCTGCGCTAGAATGCGCGGCTTCGGACTCAGAATTCCATGCCCTTTGCATTGTGTGACATCGCAGTCCCCTTCCCCGCTCCCACTTCATATTCTCCCATACTTATAACTCTCCTCCCAGTCACAGCCCTCTTCTTTTGATTGACAGACCACCCTGGGCACCCCATGCTCAATATGAACACCTTGTAGCATCCTTAGGTCTTGGACAGACCTCGGTCAGCTCTGGCACAGTCAAGAATCCACCTTGGGCAGTTCTTCTTTGAGTCTTAGCCCTAATCCCTTTGAAAATTCTATTTTCCTTTGTCCTCAATCCAGTCAACACCTACTATGTACCAGGCACCAGGAAGCCAGAAGCTCAGGGCCCAGCCCTTGCCTTTGGTACCTGCCCTCCCCTTGGTCTCATGAGCGTCTTTTCAGCTTTGTGGACTTTGTTTCCTGCCCTCTCTTTCCTATTTCCTGCCTTCCAGCCCCACCCCTCTGTCCCTAGATTGTGTGACTCCCTTCAGGCAGTCCTTTAGTCCCCAGCCTCACCTTTGCTCTCAATGTCATGCAGCCGCTCCTGCCAGAATCCCCGGAAGGGGGCAATGCCAGTGCCTGGACCCACCAGGATGCAGGGCAAGCTGGGATCGGGTGGCAGCCGGAAGGAGGGAGCCCTGGCAGGAGAGACACTCCATCAGGTCCCCTTTGCCTTTCCTGCTCCACCATTCTCACCATGCAGGGTGGGTGGAGCAAGGAGGACCCAAGTTCTTCCCATCTCAAAAAAAAATTAAAAAAAAAACAAAAAACAAAAAACAACTCTACTTGCTGAAACTCCTTGGATCTGTGGTTTCTGGAGATTGCACCAAAGGAAATATAGTTCATTTTGGATTGAAGAATACTTAGATGACTCAGGGGATTTAGAAAACGTGGGAAGGGTGAAAGACACTTTCAGTTCATAATGGGTTCACTAAGTGTGTTTATTTTAAGTATCCTTAATAGTGGTATTTAGTTTATGTTCAGTAGATGGGTACGGTTTATTTGTAGTTTAGCCACCTGGGTGGATTTGAATCACCAGGCCCAGCTGATGGCAGCCTAGGAACTGTTCTCAGTCCTACCAGGACTTTTGGTTCCTGGCTGCGAGAGCGGGCAAGACTTCTGGACACAGCATGAAGGAAGGGTCTCTTAAAATCCTTCACCCTCGGTCCGGGCGCGGTGGCTCACACCTGTAATCCCAAGACTTTGGGAGGCGGAGGTGGGAGGATCGTGAGGTCAGGAGCTCGAGACCAGCCTGGCCAACATAGTGAAACACCGTCTCTACTAAAAATACAAAAATTAGCTGGGCGTGGTGGTGGGTGCCTGTAATCCCAGCTACTCAGGAGGCTGAGACAGGAGAATATTTTTTTTTTTTTTTTTGAGACAGAGTCTGGCTCTGTCGCCCAGGCTGGAGTGCAGTGGCACAATCTTGGCTCACTGCAAGCTCCACCTCCCAGGTTCACGCCATAGGAGAATCTCTTGAACCCGGGAGGCGGAGGTTGCAGTAAGCCGAGATCGTACCACTGCACTCCAGCCTGGGCGACAGAGCAAGACTCCATCTCTGGGGGAAAAAAAAACCAAAACCTTCACCTTCTTTGAGTCCTTGGTGACACCAAGGCCAAGGGTGGTCTTAACCCTAACTAGTAGTTCTCCCTGGATTGAGTGAGGATTTAGTGACTGTAGTTCCCAGGTGCCATGCTGCCCAACATCAGACAGCCCAGGGACATAGAGAGGAACACAGAAGCTTTCAGAAAGCCACAGGGCCAGCCGGTTTGATCCCAGCTCTGGCTCTGGGAGCTATAGTTTCAGGGCAGAACTCTGAGTCTAAATGAATGAGAGAGCCAAAGCTTAGCCAGAGTTCTGAAGTGACCTAATGACACCACACCCTTGACATGTTACAGAGCTCCTTCCTGTTTCCAGTGACACCCCTCACCAGTGACACTCCTCACCAAAGCTGCCACCCTGACCCTGGGCAGCTCCCCACCAAGTCTTCCATCTCACTTACCCCCGGATGAAGCAGGGCACAGGGTCTCCGGGCTTGAGCTGGCTTAGCCACGTGGAGCAGACTCCATAGTGCAGGGGGCCCAGCCCATCTGGGGGTGGGAAGGAGAGGCCGGTGAGGGGCCAGAGAGGGGCCGGTCCCAACCCTGCTGTGGCCAGGCCTGCTCCTGCTTGTTGCCTCACCCTGAGTCCTGTATGCCAGCACAGCTACAGTGAGGTGGATCTCTCCTGGGTGGGTGCTGGGTGCCGAGCTGACTGAGTAGTACCGGGGCTGGAGCAGAGGCAGCTGGGTGAGGAGCAGTGGGGCAGGCAGCGCCACCGACGGGAACTGCTCCAGCACCTCCAGCAGCGTGGGGCAGCGGAACCACTTCCACTCCTCGTAGCGTCGGGGATCCTGGCGGGGCAGGATGCAGTGGGTTGGAGGCCCCATAGCCCTTCCTAGTAACCTCCCTTCTTGACCCCTCCCCCACTGAGCCTCTTTAGGGTTTCTCCCTGCTCAGTTCAGGCCAATAGAGTTTTCTCTAAGACCTGGAGAATCCAGCCATGAATTCCTCCCTGAGGAGCTGGGTCTTAAAGCACCAGTGCATGTCGGCCAGGAGAAGAAAGTCCAGGGGGGACTTTGCATGGGGGTTTCCTGCCACTGGGGTCCCCCCAGCTCATCCCGTCTCTCTAGCCCCTGTGCCTCATTGGGGTGGCCCCCAACCTGGCTGAGGGCCTCCAGCTCCTGCTGTTCCCTGGGCTCTTCTGCCAAGGTGCTGAGCAGCCGCAAGAGCTGAGGGCTGGGTGGGGAGGTGATGTCCAGGAAGAAGGTGAGAGCCTGGCGCAGCGTGCACGGGGGCAGCCGGGGGTCCCGCACCCAGCCGGGGGGAGGGCCACCTGGGGATAGTGCACAGGGAGCTCTGAGGACAGGGCCCAGCAGGACTGCAGTACCTGGGCTGATGTTTGTGTTTTGGTGACTGTTAGAGAGCCTGCCCTTGAGCAGCGGGGTCGGCCTGTCTAGGTAGCCTCAGTGTATTGTTCGGGGGCCCCTGGCCGGACTGGGTTGGTCTGGGCTCCTCTGCCTCTGACTCCACCCCCTTATTTTAAATAAAGCCCAGGCATTGATGTGGCAGCAAATAGCCCCAGTGCCAGCTCCAGAGCAAGCTAGATTGCTAGGGGAGCCTCGGAGAGGAGCCCAGAGGGAGGGGACAGCCTTTTGGTGGGGGTGCATTTGAGGGTGTGGGGATGGTCCAGCAACAAGGCCAGCCCGGCAGTGGGCAGCACAGCCAGCTCTGAGCCTGCCTGCTGAGCTGTGGAGGAGGTGGCCACCCCCTGGGTCGGGTCCTGAGCTCCTGGAGGCCTGGGGCCGGGGGTGGGGCTGGGCATGGGGCTGGTGTGCCCTGTTGCTTCCCAGGCTGCCCCTCACCAGGGCTGCCCTTCTCCAGCTGCTCTACTGCCACGGGCTCAGTGGGCGCCGGCGGGTCCTCCACGCGGCTCAGCAGCGCCTCCACAAGGCCGGGCCGGTTGGGCGGGCAGACACCTATGTGGTCCCCCGGCTGGTACTGCAGCCCCTCCTGGCCTCCGGTGTCCAGGCGCACCAGGATGGTGGCCCTCCTGGGGGTGGGGAGAGGGGCACTTATGGGGAGTCAGAGAGGGGTGGGGGCGGGAGAATGTGGGAGGAGGAGGGTCCAGGGTCAGGGTGTTCAGGACAGGGGTGGGGGGGCGGTAAAGCCGTCGTCCTCACGTGGACTTGCTGCTTTGCAGGTTTTCCACTGAGCGGATTGTAGCCTGGAACATCTTCCGCCTGTGCACGTGGATCAGACCTGGGGGCGGGGAGGGGCAAATGAGGCAGCCTGAGCTAGGGAGCAGGGCCTGGCCCCAGAGTGCTTTAGTCCCGGGGTGTGGGGGCCTCAGAGAACCAGCCGGGTTAGGGTGAGGGCAGGGCCCACCTGGCAGCAACTGCAGGCCCTCGGCCTGGGCGCTCAGCCGGTACCTCTGGCGCTTCCAGCTCCGTTTGGGGCTGAAGATGTCTCGGGCGGCGGCCTTGGCATCCTCTCCCACACAGAAGGTCTCACAGGCGGCCTGCGGGACAGGCCGGTGAGGGCTGAGGACCTCCCGCCACCAGGGGTCGCCCTAGTGAGGCGCCTGGGCGGCTTCACTGCGTCTTGCTCCTGGGGGGTTGGCAGCCCCAGTGGCTGAGGCCGGCGCCAAGGACAGCACCTTTTCCGCCAGCCCATTTCATGGATTGGCCGCTGGGCCCAGGGACCCGGCTGGCTCTTTCTCTGCACGTCCTGATTGGTGCATCGTTCCTTATCTGGTGCGTGTTAATCCCGTGATCCGAGAAGCATAGTGCTTGGCACACGGTAGCTCTGTGAAGGCGTCTGTGTGTTCAGACCTGCATTCAAATTCCGAATCCCGTACTTACAGTGACATGCCTCAGTTTCCCCATCTTTACACCTCAT
Organism: Homo sapiens; assembly: GCF_000001405.40. Lineage (NCBI taxonomy): Eukaryota > Metazoa > Chordata > Mammalia > Primates > Hominidae > Homo > Homo sapiens. The sequence continues at coordinate 151,008,549 of NC_000007.14, read as the reverse complement.
TGTGTTCTGGTGAAGATTAAATGAGATACTTTATGTAAAGCCCTTAGCTTTCCACAAAGTGCGTGCAGATAGTAAGTGCTCCTGGGAAGGGACGCACAATTCGGGCGGCAGAGGGGACCCCACGGGGCAGATCCCTGGGAGGGTGTGGATCCCGTCTACTCCTGGTCAGGCACACAGCTGGAAAACTGCTGGGCCAGTCCCAGGCTTGAAATGCAGGGCTCACCCGTGATTGGCTGAGCCTCATATCACCAAGTCCCGTTAATCTTTCTTTTGTGGTGCGTGTGAAGTCTTATATCTCTTCCTTCCTTCCTCGGCCCCTCCCTCCCTTCCTTCCTATCTCCACTGCTGCTGCTCTGCTTAGCTCAGCCTTCCTGCTTCTGGTTCGGTGATGCTGTAATGGATCCTACGCCTCTAAAGTCCTATTCCCAAAACCTGATGATGTGGTCTCATCCCGCTGCAATGGCTCTTTTTGTTTAAATTCTTTAAGTCTTATTTTCCGTTCCCTTCTTCCCAATCAGGGCCTATGTGTTTCTGCAGCCTGACCTCCCCGTCCCTGAGGTAGCCCCCACTCCCTCTCCTCCTAGGATGCCCTCCTCCTCCAATCAAGGCAAATCTGCTGAGCTCCAGCCTGGGCCCCGGGACAGCAGCACTGCCCTGAACAGTGTGGCACTGGGGAGACCGAGCCCTTGTCAACTGCAGACATGATCCCCAGACAGGCAGCACTGCCCCTGAGGAAGCCCAGGCTTAAAAAGCCACAGCCCCCAGGGATCCACCTCTCCCTGTGCTTGCTTGCCCGGCCCGGGACCAGTTCTGCGGTGCAGGCACCGCCCCAGGCTGTCTGGCCTCTGGCTTCCTGTGGCTTCTGTGCTGGCCTCAGCTTCAGCCCTTGCCTCTGTCTGACCTTCTCTCTGTCCCTTCCTTCTCCCTCCATCCTGCCCATCCTGGGTGGGGTCCCCTGCCCTGCCCTGCACCCCCTCCCTTTGTGCGCCCACTTGTGAGGCCCAGCCTGTGCCTGGCTGAAGCTCCCTCCTGCCAGGGCCCTGCCTGCTCTCTTTCGGCTGCACTTCTGCCTGGGCTAGGCACCCCTGTGGTCGGCAGGGCCATGTCATCCTCTGCCCCTGACCCAGAAGAGCTGGCTATGCCATGGAGAGATGAGGGTGGATTTTGGAAGGAACAGGAAGGGACCAAAGAACCAAACAGAATCAGGGCAGAGTGAGGCAGGAGGAGGCATCCCAGGGGGCAGGAGTCAGAGCAGGGGCTGGGCTGGGCTCACCTGGAAGGCAGCCTGGGCCCAGCCTCGGAAGGCCTCCTCCTGGCCGCACAGCTCGTCGCCCTGGCCCAGCTGCAGCAGCCGCTCCCCGCCCAGTTCCTCCAGCCGTGTGTCCACGGCACGAGCAAAGGCGCAGAAGTGGGGGTATGCCCGGGAGCCGAGCCCGAACACACAGAACCTGGGGTGCAGGGGTCGTCAGTGGAGCTCCCTTTGCAGGCCACGTTTGCCCAGGCAGCTTGCCCACCCGTTGCACCCCTCTTGGTGAGGCCCTGACCTGAGGGTGCCCAGGGCCCCTGCACTGTCTGTGTTACTGGACTCCTTCCTCTTCCGCCGCCAAGAGGACACCAGTGGGTCTGAGCAGGAGATGCTGTTGAAGCGGATCTTATAACTCCTGGCAAGAGAGGACAAAGACAAGGTTGTCACAGGGCCCTGGGGATACAGGCTAGGCCCAGCCCCAGCCCCAGGGACGGCTTCAGGGTCTCTGCCTCTGGGACAGGAAAGGCCCTGCCCTTGGGAGGGGCTGAGGGCCAGCATCCCTGGGGTTCCGAGCCTGGGGCCCTGACACACCACACCCCCATCTCTGAAGACCTCAGGACTGTCCCGGCTCTCAGAAGCAGGCAGGTCTGGACTGCCATTGCAGCCTGGAATGGAGGGCATCCTGGAGCCCTGGCTTTTGGTGGGAAAACGACTTGAGGCACAGAGGGAGAGCTTTTCAGACCCCCTTTCTGTTTGTGTCTCCAAATGCATCAGCTCCCCCAGCTCCCCCAAACTCTCACCCAACTCACTTGTGCTGTTCCGGCCGAGGGGAGCTGTTGTAGGGGCCGGACATCTCCATCAGGGCAGCTGCAAAGCTCTGGCGAGGGGAGTGTTTGCATCAGGGTTAGTTTTGTTTCATTTCAAACTACATAGAAGTTTAAAACTGTACCAGCTGATCCTCATTATTATTGATTTGTAACTTAATTTTTATTTGTTTTGAAAATTTCAAAAGCGATCTGATGTTTTTGAAAAATGACATTACAGAAATGTGTAAAGTGATAAGACAAAGACCACCCCATCTTCCCTCCGGGCATATGCGCCATTGACAGGTGTTAACCTTCCAGCCCTTTTTCCTTGAACTTACGTGCATGTGCATATTTATAGTTTTTTTTTAAGTAAAAGTGGTACCATACTGTACTTCCTTGGTTTTAATCAATAATTTATTGCAGACATCCCTCCAGGTCAATACAACAATATTGACGTAAGTAGTAGTATTGTTTTTAGATATGGGTCTTGCTCTGTCGCCCAGGTTGGGGTGCAGTGGCTCCATCATCATTCACTGTAACCTCAGACTCCTGGGCTTAAGGGATTTTTCTGCCTTCCTAGTAGCTAGATCTATAGGTGCGTGCCACCACTCTTGGTTAATTTTTAAATTTTCTGAAGAGATGGAGTCTCGCTGTGTTGTTCAGTCTGGCCTTGAACTCCTGGGCTCAAGCGATCCTCCGGCCTGGACTTTCCAAAACATGACCTCAGTCTTTTTAGTGGCTACATTGTACTTCACTGAGACTGAAGGGCAGCTCGGTGGTCTGGGAACAGGTGCTCTCTCAAACGCCCTTGTACGTGTGCCTTGCTCCCACTTTTAAATGCTTCAGCTGGGTAATCCTTAGAAGTGGAGTTGCTGAATCCCCACTTGTTGGGGCAGGCAGATCGTCCTCGCAGCTGCAGGGGAGGGCACAGCTCTTTCCTCACTCCTGGCTAACAACGGCTAGAGCAAAATCTTTCCTGTTTTAGTGGATTTCATGGGTGGACAAACTCTCAGTTCCTTCAGCAGTGTCCTGGTCACTAGCAGACATTGTGCAGGTTGCCCTCCTCAGAAGACCATGGCCTTGTTTGTGCTGCCATGAAGAAGTGGCATCAAGCGGACCTCCCAGGGGGAAGGAAGCTGGAAGGAACTGCATCTGGTGCTCAACTGCAGATGCCTCTGGGTGCTGGTTCCCAAGTGCGCCAGAGTTAGCAAGAACGATTTGAATTTCATTTTTGAATGTTTTGTCAACGTGCAACACAAGTCCAGAGGTGCACACATGTTGTAAATGTACAACTCTGTAAGTTTTCACAAACTGAACACACCTGTGCAACCAGCATCCCATCGAGAAACATTACCCGTGGCTGGGCGTGGTGGCTCACGCCTGTAATCCCAGCACTTTGGGAGGCTGAGGTCAGGGATTCAAGACCAGCCTGGCCAACATGGTGAAACCGCGTCTCTACTAAAAACACAAAAATTAGCTGGCCATGGTGGCGGGCACCTGTAATCCCAGCTACTCGGGAGGCTGAGGCAGGAGAATCGCTTGAACCGGGGAGGCGGAGGTTGCAGTGAGCCGAGATCACGCCATTGCACTCCAGCCTGGGCAACAGAGTGAGACTCCAGCTCAAAAACAAAAACAAACAAACAAACAAACAAACAAACATTACCCGCATCCTAGAAGCCAACTTCGTGCCTTCTTCCTGTCACTGCCACCCCCATCCCAGTGACTAACTCCTCTCCTAATTTCTAACTCCGTGGATTAGTTCTGCCTGTTTCTGAACTTTATATAAAGTGAACCCTGTAGTACAGTATGTATTCTTTGGTCTGGCTTTTTCTTCTCTTCACATTTTTTGAGATTCACCTGCACTGTTGTGTGTGGTTGTGTTTCGTTCACACTTAGTGCGATATGGCACTTGAATATACCACAATTTATCAGTATTTGTCGATGGTCATTTGAATTGTTTCCAGTGTGGGGTATTACAAACAAATTTGCTATAAATATTCCTTATTTTTAGTGAATATACCCCATTTTCTGTGAGCTGTATTCCTAGATTTGTTAAAAATTTGGGATAAAATTAACATACATTGAACTGCACAGATGTTAAAGGGCAGTTTAATTTGCTTTGCTGTTTGACAGTTTTATTTTATTTATTTGTATTTTATTTTAAGTAGAATTCTTGCTCTGTCACCCAGGCTGGAGTGCAGTGGCGTGATCTCGGCTCACTGCAACCTCCACCTCCCAGGTTCAAGCAATTCTCCCGCCTAGCCTCCTGAGTAGCTAGGACTATAGGCGTGCGCCACCATGCCCAGCTAATTTTTGTATTTTTAGTAGAGACAGGGTTTTGCCATGTTGGCCAGGCTGGTCTTGAGCTTCTGACCTCAAGTGATCCACCCACCTGGGCCTCCCAAAGTGCTGGGATCACAGGCGTGAGCCACCGCGCCTGGCCTGGCAGTTTTATTTTTTAAAAAAGTGAAAGATTAAACATGCATCTACCCTATGACCTACCAATTCTACTCCTAGGTATTTACCCAAGAGAAATAAAAACATAAGCCCACAAAAGCCGGGTACAAGAATGTTCATAACAGGTTTATTCATAATAGCCCCGACCTGGAAACAGCCCAAGTGTCACCAACAAGAGAATGGGTAAACAAACTGGGGATATTCACACAATGAACGGCACTCAGCAGCAGAATGAGTGAAATACTGAGTCACGCAGCAACACGAGTGCGCCTCAAAAACAGCCTCAGCAGGAGACGCCGCAACACTGCGTGCTTCCATCTAGGTGCCGTTCTAGAGCAGGCGAAACTATTCTGTGGTGACAGACACTTCTGGCAGGGAGACAGACTGGGAAGGGATTCACGTGAGGAACTGATGAGGGAACTTTCCAGGGTGGTGAAAATGTGCTATGCCTTGTGAAGGCTGTAGGTTATATGGGTGTCTATACACCTTTATGCTAAAAAAAAGTCAATTGCTGGTGCTATTTTTCTTGAAAAGGTAGGTCAGAATGAGGGCTGAAACGGACACTAAGGCAGCAAAAAGGGTTTCACGAGATTCCAACTTGCTTAAGATACTGAGGGCCAGGTGCAGTGGCTCACGTCTATAATCGCAGCACTTTGGGAGGCCGAGGCAGGTGGATTGCTTGAACCCAGGAGTTAGAGACCAGCCTGGGCAACATGGCGAAACCCCATCTCTATAAAAAATACAAAAATTAGCTAGGCATCATGGCATGCGCCTGTAGTCCCAACTACTTGGGAGGTTGAAGTGGGAGGATTGCTTGAGTCTAGGAGGTTGAGGCTGCAGTGAGCCGTGATTGTACTACTGCACTCCAGCCTGGGCCACAAAGTGAGACCCTGTCTCAAAGGAAAAAAGAAAAAAGAGTACTGAGGAAGTACTTAGTGCTAATAAGGCCTTTAACACCTAGAAGCTGGAGCAGGTAAGACTCAGAAATGAGCCTAGCCTGGGGCACCTCAGAGATACCTAAGCTTGCAAGAGAAGGAATTCAATGATGGTACTCTAGCTTTGTGTTTCTTTTTAAAAAGTGAAGTTATTTAATCTATGTTGGCATCTAAACAGCGCTCAATTTCTTCTTTTGAAAAAGGAGCCTGCGGCAGGAGGATCTCTTGAGGCTAGGAGTTCAAGGCCAGCCTGGGCAACGTAAATAGGTTCTCAAAATAAATAAAACAAATAAAATAAAATGCTGGAATAGTGTTGCACATGTTGTAAATGTACAGCTCTGTGGATTTTTACAAACTGAACACACCTGTGTAACCAGTATCCCATTAAGAAACATTACCCGCATCCTAGAAGCCGCCCTCAGTGACGTATCCCTGTTTTTCTTGTCAGTGCCCGAGCACAGTCTAACCTCTTGGTCAGCCAGGATGTGCCTTCCTTGTATTAAAAACTTGCACTGATAATGGAAATGACTTGGGGACGCGCAGTTAAGCAAATGTGCTTGCAGGGAGGCAGCCACATGGGTGGGCTGGGAGCGTAGCTTGTGTGGGGTTTCAGGCTCCAGGGGTCTCTTAGCATCTCCCTTTCCATCCTGGCGTGTGTGTGTGTGTGTGTGTGTGTGTGTGTGTGTGTGTGTGTGTGTGTGTGTGTGTGTGTGTGTGTGTGTTGGGCAGAGGTTCCTGCCCAGTCACTCCAATTCTGAGTCTCTCCTCATTCCCAGCAGCCCCTTTCCTGGAAGTTCTCACCTCTCCATTCTCCGGGGGATCCCCATTCCCAAATGTGCTGGTTACCACCAGCACCAGCGTCTCGTGTTCGAGGGACACCACGTCATACTCATCCATACACAGGACCTGTGGGTGGGAAGACAGATGTCCTGGGTGCTGTGGCCCCCGGAGGCCCTGCCCTCCTCACTCTGGCCTCCCTGGCAGTGCAAGATTCAGGCCCCAACTTGATCTCTGAACACCTGTGGTTCCGGGTTCCTCATGAGTCCTGACTTGTAACACTTCCTGTCCTCCAGGGCACCCCTGAAGATGCTGATAGAGCCCCCTCTTTCTAGCTCCCTGCTCCCCTGGGCTCAGCCCTACCCGGGGATCAAAAGCCTTCCGGAAGAGTCTCCCCAGCTGCTGTGCGTAGCTCTGGGCCCGGCCGGTCTCGGAGCCATACAGGATTGTCGCCTTCACTCGCTTCGCCATCACCGTGCCCATGAGCGAGGCGGAGATCTTCACGGCGCTGCGGGAGAGGAAGGTGTGAGGGTGTCCTGGGTGCACAGAGGCAGGGCCTCCCCAGGCAAGGGTCCAACCCCCTCACAACAGGGTTTTGGGATACTGAGTGGTAGGCCCAGAACACTGCTGGGGCAGGGTCCCCCAGGGTGTGTGGGGGAGAGTGGGGCCCCCAGGGTGTGTGTGGGAGAGCGGGGCTCCCAGGGGACCCACTTGGCCACTTCTTTAAAGGTCTTCTTCCTGGTGATGCCGGTGCCCTTGGCGGCACTCCCCTTCCAGGGGTCTGGCTGCAGAGAGATGATGGGGTTGGGAGGGGAGGTAAAGAAAAGGAAAGGTTAGAGGTCCCCAGGGGCTGCTTAGAATTAGAGCTGGGCCCAGGCTGGCAGAGCCAGTTAGGGTGGGCACCTGGTAGCGGAAGGCCGGGGACAGGAAATAGTTGACCATCTCCTGATGGAAAACAGGAGTGAGGCTGCCCGAGATGGGGGGCACGATCCAGGCCCAGTCTGCAGGGCAGCCCCCCCTGGCCTTCTGCTCATTCTCCAGGTGCTTCATGAAAGAGGCCGTGGCGGCGTGGTGGTCCACGATGGTGACTTTGGCTAGCTGGAAGGGAGAGAGAGGGGGAGAGGCTCAAACCAGACCCACAGACCTCGCCCATTCTTCCTCCACCACTCCGGTCACCCCAAACCACATGTGCCCTCGATTACCCCATATCTAACACACCCTGTGTCCCCTCAAACCACAATGTCACCCTCACCCCAAACCACATCATGCATGGTCATGCTGCAGGTTCAACATGCAACAAGCAGCTCTAATCTCCAGCATCTGCATGCCTGGTCCCCAAACCAAATAGCCCACAGAAATTCTCAGCAGGCCCCGGCTTCCTCAAACTACGACTCCTGGTGTGCCCTTGATCCTGGTATTTGTTTCCAGGATCCAGCGGGTCCCACAAACTGCAATACCCAATATGCCCTGAGAATCAGCATGACTGGGCATGCAGTAAACAGCAAGGTCCCTGGCACACAGTAAGCCACCAGATGACAGCGCCTGGAATAGTACCTGCCCTGTCCCCGAACCGCAGGCCAGTGTGCGCCATGGCACTGGGACTACGGAACTTCTTCTGCCTGTCCAAATCCTGCCCTAGTTTCTAAATGGCTGCCTCTCCTCCATCCCCCGCCCCTGCTGCCCCCGTATGCAAACCCTTTGCCTTCCTGGCCAGTCTGGGCCTCTGCACCTGGTAACTGTGCAGCACGGCCACGTTGATTTCCACTGCTGCCTTGTCTTTCCACAGGGACGAGGTGGTCCGGGTATCCAGGTCCATGCAGACAGCCACATCCTGGGGCAGAAGGGTGTGTGGCATCGGTAGGGACAGAGGTGATCACGGGGGTGGGGTGGGGAGACTATCTCTGTTTCCCGTACATGGCTGGAAGGAGTGAGGTGAGTGGTGTCCATTGGGAGGCCTGGCTGCCTAGGGGGCTGGTTCAGGTTTTTGCCTGCGAAGGCACCTCAGAGCAGAGAGGGACTTTGGGCCAGTCGCTCCTCAGCTCCAGGCTTTAATTTCTCATCTCTAAAATGGGTCTTAACCTTTGCCGAGTCAAGGTCCCCTTTGAGAATCTGATGAAAGCTCTAGAGCTATGGGTCCTATGCCTGAAAGAACAACTACATGTTCACACCCATCCCCATGCCCCCCTCACCCACCCACTCACACCCACACCCACCCACAAACCCACACACTCACACCCACCCACCCCCACAAACCCACAATTTCACACTCACCGCCTACACACATCCACACTCACACCCACATACCTACACTCTCACACTCGCCCCTACACACCCCACAAACCCACACTCGCCTACCCCTACAAGCCCACACACACCCCCTACACACCCCACAAACCCACACTCACCTACCCCTACAAACTCACACACACTCACCCCTACACACCCCACAAACCCACACTCGCCTACCCCTACAAACTCACACACACTCACCCCTACACACCCCACAAACCCACACTCGCCTACCCCTACAAACCCACACACACTCACCCCTACACACCCCACAAACCCACAGTCACCTACCCCCACAAACCCACAGTCTCACAGTCACTGCCTATACACACCCACAAACCCACACCCACCTACCCCCACACACCCACACTCACCCACCCCTACAAACCCACAGTCTCACACCCACTACACACCCCACAAGCCCACACTCTCACCCACTGCACACCCCAGAAACCCACACTCTCACACTCACCCACTCACACCCCCACACACACCCCTGCCACCCCCTACCCCTTTGCTTCAGTGGTTCTAGAGCTTGTCCTCAGTTCCCATTTAGGAGGCAACCCTGGACCTGCTCTGATTGTCCCCGTGGCTGGCATTTTGGGGATGGAGTGAGAGCCAGACTCCTGCCTTGGACAGGTGCATTCGGTGCCCGAGCCCCATCCCGCACCTCACCTCCAGGATGTTGTAGCGGTGAGGGTCACACAGGTTCCTCGTGCCGATCTCAGTGCTCATGTACCAGCCACTGAAGGGGGCTGCGGGGAACTCCAGGCCCCCAATTTCCAGCAGCATGTTGGACACTGCCGGGAGGGCGTACCAGCGCAGGCCCAGGGCTGCAAACCACTCCAGCCTGGGGGTGTTGGGGTGTGGGATCAGCACCCCCTTGCAGGCCCTTCTTGAGAGGCTCAGGGATGGCCCCCTCCATCCCACCCAGTCAATCCCTTTGGTGCTCACGTGGGGTGCTCCAGGGGCACCTCAAGGACCAGCTCGGGGGGCAGAAGGAAGAGTTCTGGGGGATCATCTGGGGCCTGCAGCAGCAGGGGCAGCACGTCGAAGCGACCGTTTCCTGGGGTCCAGCCGTGCTGAATGCAGAGCTGTGGGGAGTGGGCCAGAGGGGGTTCTGGGGCTGAGCCTCATGCCCTCCTCAGGGACCCCTCCATCCACTGTCTCCTGCCTTCATCTCCAGGGTCCCTCATTGGCTGGGTCTCCGTGACCACCCAGGCACCCCTCCTTTGGTGTTTTTCATCCTTTATCTCACCGAGGCTCCCCTCTTCCTGCCTGGATCCCCCGAGCCTTCTCCCACTGGTTTCCTCATTCTCCACCTTGGGGACACCCTCATGGGTGGCCCTCGGTGCCCACCTCGGTGATCTCCACGTTGGCTGGGTCCCCCCGCACAGAGCCATCCTGCTGCCGGTAGCCCGCGTAGCGCACCAGCTGGCTGTTCCAGATTCGGAAGTCTCCTCGGCCAGGGCAGCGCTGCGGGAACACTGTGATGGCCGAGCTGGCACGCATGGGGAAAGAGCTGGTCAGAGCCCCGCCTTCCCTGCCTTGGGGAAGAAGGCTGGGGCCTGGCATGGTGGGGGGCACTCACCGAAGGTTGCCCCGGTTGGTGGCATACTTGATGTGGTTGCAGATGTAGGTGAACATTTCCTGTGCAGACCTGCAGTCCCGGGCATCGAACACCTGAGCCAGCCGAGGCAGCGGGAGAGGAGGGTGAGGAGAGAGACGGGGGGTCTTGAGTATCAGCTCCAGAGGAGCTGCTGGTGAGGAGGCAGGGGCCATGGTTCACTCCATGGCGCCCTCCTGACCATTGGCAGCCACACTGATCCCTTCCTGCCCTGCTCTCTGACATATGTAGCACCATCCGGGCTGCTTCTCATCTCCTCCCTGGGCCAGGTGTCTCCCCATCCCTATGGAAGCTGACTTGGTATCCAGTACAGAGGAGGGACTCGGCCTCTGCCAAACTGATGCTTGGGTTAGGCACCAACGGATGTCTAAGAGGCCGCCTAGGAGTGTGGGCAGCAAATCCCCCATGATCCATGGCATTCAAGAAAGGACGGGTGATTCTCTTTGAGCACATGGATGGTGGGAAGGGAAGGCTGCACCAGAGGCCTCCTAGGACCCTGCTCATCCTGACATTCTGAGTGGAGGCCCCAGGAGGAGGCTGGGAGGTCCCACTCCTGCCTGAGGGAGGAGGAAACATGTGTCAGTGACAGGGGCAGGGGAGTGGCAGGGACCAACCTGGGGTCAAGGGAGGGACGCAGCTCTGAGTGGGGTCCACTATGGCAGCTCAGATGGATCGAAGTTGAGCTAAAGCTTTGAATGACTTAGAGGGTCAGGCAAGTGTCAGATAGGATTGTTTTTATTTTAGTTGAGGTTCCTTTGGGATTCACTGGGCACGTGGCTTTATTTCAAACTCTTTGGCGGCCAGTGATGGTGAAGGAGGCCAAGGCCATGGGACCAAGTCCCCCATGGGGCAGCTTGCTTCTCTTAGTGCTGTGGTCACAGGCGTTCCAGTAACTAAGGCCAGCCCCGAGTCTGTGGGCTGGGGTGTGAGGGAGGGTGCGGGCCGAAGCAGGGGAACTGGGGTAGCAGTGGGTGTGGGTGAGGGGCTGCACTGGACTGGCCTGGCGGGAGAAGCCTTCTCTCTTGGGGGAGAAGCAGCAGCCAGGGCTTTTCCAGGAGGCTGCTCCTGCTACTGACAGCACCGCCCAGGGAAGCTCCGCTCAGCTGTCCTCACCCCCGCAGCAGGTCTAGACTTCCTCACCCCCGCAGCAGGTCTAGACTTCCTCACCCCTGCAGCAGGTCTAGACTTCCTCACCCCTGCAGCAGGTCTAGACTTCCTCACCCCTGCAGCAGGTCTAGACTTCTTTCCCCTCCTCCAGCCAAGGCACTACCATAGGGCCTGATAACCAGGTCTTCACTACTGGGCTGAGGTTCCCCTGGGTGCTGAGGGTGGGGCAGTCCCCCTACCTTTCCAGTCTCTAAGGGAAAAGGCAAGGATCTCCCCCACAGTTTGGGACCTCCCAGCCCCCGGGAAGCCTTAGGAACTGCCCCGCCACCCCGCTCCCCTTTTGGTAGCGCCCGGGTCTCTCAGTCGCTGGCCAGCCGCACCTGCAGCTTCCCCCACTGGATCCGGCCCACGCAGCGGGGAGCGTTGCGCCAGGCCTGCTTAGCCCCGAACACCAGCTCGCTCTCCCTAAGCTGGTAGGTGCCTGTGGCTGCCACCTCGGCTTCCACCTCTTGAAGCCGCTGTTCGTGGGCCTGGGAGCCGCTCCTGGGGAGGAGAGGGGTGGGAAGGGGACAAGCAGGAAGTTGTGTGGGACAGGGAGGCCCTCCTCCAGGCTTTGTGCAAGTGCTGGGGGAGGGCGGGAGGGGCCCACGTGGTGTTAGGATCTGGGAAGGGAGGGGGTCATGGGAAGGTCGTCACGGGGTTTCTGGGGCCTCAGTGGGACAAGGGAGGCTGTGGCGTCCGGGAAGCTGTCACCTCTTAATGGAGCTGTAGTACTGGTTGATGAAGTCCCGGGCCTGACTCAGCAGCTGCTCAGGGGCCGGGGGGCCGGGGGAGGGCCGGCCCTGTAGTTTCCGTGGAAATACCAGGGAGCCCAGGCAGCGTCTTGGGGTGCAGGGCCCATCCTGGGTCGAGGGAGTGCAAAGGTCAGGACAGGCCAGGGTGCAGGGGTGGGATGGGAGTTGGGGGCAGGGAGGAGGGGTGCAGGGGTGGAACAGGGGGAGAGGGAGGAGGGGTGCAGTGGTGGGATGGGGGAGAGGGAAGAAGGGTGCAGGGGTGGGATGGGTGAGAGGGAGGAGAAGTGCAGGGGTGGGACGGGGAGAAGGAGGAAGGGTACAGGGGTGGGAGAGGGGAGAGGGAGGAGGGGTGCAGAGGTGGGATGGGGAGAAGGAGGAGGGGTGCAGGGGTGGGGTAGGGGCAGAGGGAGGAGGGGTGCAGGGGTGGGATGGGGAGAAGGAGGAGGGGTGCAGAGGTGGGGTAGGGGCAGAGGGAGGAGGGGTGCAGGGGTGGGATGGGAGCAGAGGGAGGAGGGGTGCAGGGATGGGACGGGGAGAGGGAGGAAGGGTGCAGGGATGGGACGGGGAGAGGGAGGAAGGGTGCAGGGATGGGACAGGGGAGAGGGAGGAGGGGTTTAGGGGTGGGATGGGGGAGAGGGAGGAGGGGTGTAGGGGTGGGACGGGGCAGAGGGAGGAGGGATGCAGGGGTGGGACGGGGGAGAGGGAGGAGGGGTGCAGGGGTGGGTCGGGGCAGAGGGAGGAGGGGGTGCAGGGGTGGAATGGGGCAGAGGGAGGAGGGGTGTAGGGGTGGGACGCTGGAGAGGGCGGGAGTGCAGGGTGGGACGGGGAGAGGGAGGAGGGGTGCAGGGGTGGGAGAGGGAAGAGGGGTGCAGGGGTGAGATGGGGAGAGGGAGGAGGAATGCAGGCAGGGGACGGGGGGAGAGGGAGGAAGGGTGCAGGGGTGGGAGGGGGGAAAGGGGTGCAGGGGTGGGATGGGGGAGAGTTTGAGCCAGGGTTGGGGGTAAGGCTGGAGGCTGAGGGTCACCCAAGTCCCGTGCATGTCCCTCAACTCCTCTGGTTCTTCCCAGTCCTCTCCTCTTTTTGGAAACAAGGGACCAATTCAAAGAAGGGTTGAGCTTCCCTCTCCGGCCCCATCTGAGGCCAGGCCTTACCCACCCTTTCCCTGGAGACGATGGGGACAGGGCATGCCGGCCTTACCTGCTGCGCCTGGGCGCTGAGGGTGTCATAGGTGATGCTCCCCACCTCCCAGTTCTTCACACGAGGGAACTTGGGCCCCTCTGGGGGCTGGGTTAGCGGGGAGCTCGGGGGGCTGTTGGGAGCCAGGGATAGGGTCATCAGGAAGGGTTTGTTTCCTTTCAGCCTTCCCAGATGTCACCCGGAGGCCCCTGTTACAGCACTGGCGATCTCACAGCCCACCTGCCGCATGCCTTCTGGCGTTCCCCATGCCTTAGGAGCTAGAGGCGAGCTGTGCCTCCGTTTATAGACCAGGGTCCTGGGCTGCAGGGGCTGCTGGTGCTGAGCTCCTGAGCCCCTGACCCGAGGCTAAGTTCGCATCCCACCTGCAGCGCCCACCTCACCTCTTCTGGAGATGGGGTGTCCACCCCCCGCAAAGCTGCTATAAGCCCTACCCTGAGGGGGACAGAGCCTGGTGCTTGAGTGGAGGGAAGCCCTGCAGGGATTCCTCAGCTCTGATTTCCCTCCGCACTCACAACCCCTCCTGACAGCAGCCCCATGTGTGAAGGGAAGCCTCGCAGGCCTTATCACTTCCTCCCAGAGCCACCAGCGGCAGGGAGGAAGGGAGGGACTCAGGCCAAGGGTGCGCCTGAGCAGCAGGGCCCCGGCCCTCAGCCTTCCCTGCATAGCTGCCTGCAGCCCCAGCCTGCCCCCGGCCTGGCACCCCACCAGGCCTCCGGGTCTTTCCTCCCTCCTGGGACCTCTACCCCCGGGAGGACTCTTGTGGGAACTGCATGGTCCAGTTTTCGGGTGACAGCCACGAGGAGAGGGGGCTGGAGCAGGGGAAAAAAGCCTGGTGGCTCTGTCTTCTCAGCCTGCTTACCCCAAGGGCCCGAGTTTCCTGCCCAACTCTCTCCCTCTTCTGGGAGACCCCACTTTCTCACTCCTGTAACCACTGCTGTCAGCTCCTTTCTTCTCCAGCTAAATAATCATCGCTGCTGTTGAAGGCTTGCTGTGAGCTAGAAACTTACTTCCCCATGGAGTAAGTATTGCCATATCTCGTTTTATATAAATGGAGGTTCAGAGAGATTAAGTAACTTGCTCAAAGTCAAACAGCTCCTGGCGGCAGAGCAGCATTCAAACCCTGGCCAGATTCTATAGCTGGCACCCTTACTCCCAGCTTTCACCTGCCGACTCTGATCCTGGTCTCCTTTCTGAGCCTCCCAGACTGTCCTGTTCTATGCACATTAATAGCCCTTTTGCATTTGTGACCTGGCCCTCCCGACTCAGCTACAAGTTCCAGACCTTCCCAGCCCCAGGCTTCAGGCCTTGACACCACCCTTGTTGCCCACCTGCTCCTAGCTGCCTGGCCCTTACCTGTGTTCTGGCGCTGGTGGGAGTAGGGATGCTGGGGCCCGGCTGGGCTCAGGGGCCGGGGTGGCTGGGCCCTGCTTGCCGCACAGCCCAAGGCCCAGCCCCAGCCCCAGGCCGCAGGGTGGCCCAGGCTCCTGGGCCACGCTCTTCAAGTTGCCCATGTTACTGTGCGTCCACTCTGCTGCCTGCTCCAGCAGAGCCCTGGCCTTTTCCTTAGGAAGAGGGAGGGGACCGAGAGGAGGGGGCAGTGGGAGGGGGCTCTCCAGTGCTGGCCCTCGCCCCGCCCCTATCCCATACACAATGGGACAGGAACAAGCCCGGCTGGGAGGCTCTAAAGCCTCAGCTCCACGCCCGCTGGCCTGAAGGGTGGGGGGCCGGACGCCTGGGTTCCGCTGTGAGGACTGAGGCTGATAAGTGGGAGCCCAGGTGTCCAGCAGAGCCCTGGGGCTGCAGCATGGGGGCTGGGGCATTGGGGAGTGGCAGGGTAGAGCCACCAGGGGGTCATAAAGGTCCTTCTGTGATGTGGCACCAGACGGAAGGGCCTTCGGCCTCACCCCTGTGTGCCTTTCCCTGGAGGGTTGGGCAGAAGGTGAGCACCGTTTCTGTAGCAGGGGATGGCAGCCCACACTCTCAGTGACCACAGGGACCTCTAGGGTCATGCAGGTTCTCTCCTTCACCTCCCCCCATACATACAAGAACTCCTGGATCCCCACCCTTGAGTCCTTTTGGGTTCTTGGGGATAGAGGCCCAGCAAGGATGTAGTGACTTTTTGTCCTTGAGTCTGACATTAGGGTATCCCTTCCCCTCCCAGCCCCAATTTCCTGGAACCCCCACACCCCCATGACTCAAGTGGGGGACACAAAAGAGCAGGAAGCTGCCTTCCAGTGCCTCCACCCCCACCCTGTCATTCAGTGACGCACGCTTCCCGGGGCCGCAGGTCAGCAGAGAGACTAGGGCTGAGGCAGGGTCAGCCGGCCAGGGAAGAGCTTGATGCCCTGGTGGGAGCATGGGGGACTAGGGAAACTACAGTTCCCAGAATGCAGGTGGGGTACACCAGCACTCTCCAGGCACTTCAGGCCAGAGTGCATGCTGGGGTTTGTAGTTCTGTGCCATCTGAGGGGCTGGAGAAAGGCCACTAGCTGGGCATCTGGTCCACAGGGGTCGAAGCCTCGTGATTTCGAGACCTCAGAGACTGAGAGAAAGTTTAAGAAAGAAACGGAAGCTGAGAGACTGGGAGAGGCAGAGACTAGGAGCAGCAGACAGACAGACAAACAAACAAGAGGATTTGTGTTGGCCAGACTCCTCTGAAAAGCAGTGGAGGATAAGGTTGGGGTGGGCCTGGGTGGGGGGCCGGCAGGCGGAAGGAACGGGCTGTGCTCAGAGCTCTGGGGTCACACCAAGAAGGTGGGGTCTGCCAGTTTTGGAGGATGGAGGGTGAAGGGGCCTCATAAGCTGCTCCTGGACACTAGTGTGCCCTGCTGCCCCTGTCTCAGGAGGAGGGAGATGGAAGGGCGGCATTCAGCCTGGGCTTTGTCCCATGACCCCAAGCCTGAGGCCCCACCACACCCCACCACCTCGCCTTCCCAGTGAGGCAGGGGATGGGATCCAGCCCCTACTTTTCAGGCATCTTCTACCATGCTGGAGGAGACAACAGATCCCAAGTCTGGCTTCCATATTAAGCCACCATTTGAAATGTGCATGACCAAGGATGACTCATTTTCCTAGGTCCCAGTTAATGGAGCTGTGACTGGCATCCTCAGGGTCAAGGTGACAGGCAGCATCAGATGCTGACATCCTTCTGTCTTTTTTTTTTTTTTAGACAGAGTCTTGCTCTGTCACCCAGGCTGGAGTGCAGTGGTGTGATCTTGGTTCATTGCAACCTCTGCCTCCCGGAGTGATTCTCATGCCTCAGCCTCCCGAGGACGACAGGCACCCACCACCACGCCTGGCTAATTTTTTTTTTTTTTTGAGACAGAGTCTCGCTTTTGTTGTCCAGGCTGGAATGCAATGGTGCTATCTCAGCTCACTGTAACCTCCGCCTCCTGGGTTCAAGCGATTCTCCTGACCCAGCCTCCTGAGTAGCTGAGATTACAGGTACCCACCACCACGCCCGGCTAATTTTTATAATTTTATTAGAGACAGGGTTTCACCATGTTGACCAGGCTGGTCTCGAACTCCTGACCTCAGGTGATCCACCTGCCTCGACCTCCCAATGGGCTGGGATTCCAGGTGTGAGCCACCATGGATGGCCATTGTCTTCTTGCCTGCACCACTGGCTGTGGCCCGTCCCTGTGGCCACCTGACCCCTCCCAGGCCTTCCAGTCCCATCTGGGCTCCACACTCTGCTAGATTCTTCTGGAAAGCAGGGCTTACCTTACGCTTTGGCACTACCCAAAACCCTCAGCCAAGAACAAAGCCACTCCAGCACATTGGCCTGGCCCTCATTTTCCTTGGTGCACTGCTTGAATCCTCTGTTCTAGACAAATGGGCTTTCTCGTGTCTCCCTAATGGTCCTGTGCTTCCCTGCCCCTGGGCCGCTGCTGTGCTGTTCCCTCCACCTCTCCCTTCCGCCTCTGACAAATGAAAATCTTTTTCTTCCTTGAGGCCCAGCCTGGGCAGCTCTGGAGGTGCACCACCCAGGCCTCCCTCTTAGAGAGCAGGTACCTGCTGCAGAAGGTGCTGGTGGCTGACAGCTTCCAGATGCCAGCCTTCAGTCCAAGGCCATGTGCTTCCCTGGAGTCTTGTGTAGGATATAATAAATTCCTCTTCTAAGGTTTTAGCCTGTAAATTAAGTACAATGAGTTCTGAGATCCTCTCCAAAGATCCAATGCATCAGTATGTTCAGCTTTGTTCTTCATCTTAAAGTTTAACTTTCATGTTCTCTTCGTCTCCTTGCCCCTAGTTTCAGTAAACAACCCCCTCCTAGCTTCTATCACCTGCTCCGAACTGAGTCACCACTGGTCACCTGCTCTGACCTGAGTCATCCTGAGTCACCTGTTCTGTGACCGTCCTTCCTGCCAAACTACTTACCCTGCCAATCCGGCTCTTACCCCTGCTCTCTTTAAAATAGCCAGTAACAATTAGCTCAGACGGTGTGGTCCAACCCTAGCCAATAGGGGAACAACACAGCTGTAGGGGCTACCTGCCTTAGGGATAAAAACCCCTTCCCTTCCCTTGTTCAGGTGTGCTCTTGCCATTGCTCCATCTGTGAGATGCACCCTTCTATAGAAGTAAAATTGCCTTGCTGGGAACATTTATATCTGAGTGCTATTTCTTTTGTGGCACCGAAAATTTATTTCTAACACTTAGACAGTAACTGAGCCCCGGGGCGTCTGTGGGCGTAACATCCCCCGCTGGGCTGATGTGAGGCCCTTCTTCTTCTTCCCTCCTCTGCAGGTGTGAGCCTGGCATTGTGGGCCTGATCCTTCCCCTGCCCAACTCACTCCTGCTCCCGGTCCCTGTTATCTTTCTCAGGCATTGCCCGCAGTATTCCTCTTATGCTTCCAACTCCTGGGACTCTGCTTCCTGAAGGACCCAACCAACACAGTCGCAGGATGACTCCTCTGTGAGGTCTTCCTTACGTCCCCTTCTCCATGATCTCTGGGTGGCTGTCACCCTGTCCCCAAGGCCCCGGGGACAGCTCTTTCTCTGGGCCCTCCTGGTCGTGGTTTTTGGGCAGCTTGCTCTGTAAGTGTGGGTTCTCACTTAAATGAACCTGTGTGCTCTGAACCTGTGTGCTCTGGAAGACACAGGTCAGTTCCTCTCTGTGGGGATCCTCTGCTGGGTTGAGCTCCTGCACTGAGTGGGATTGCTTCATACATTGGCTTGTTTTGTTGCAAATGTGTGCAGCCGCCTGGGGACTGGAAGCTGTGCTCTGGAGGCAATGGAGAGGGTCCACTGAGAAGGGAATTGGCTGAGGCTAGATGGGTCTGTGTGGGCAGAAAGAAGTCAGTCTAGGTGAAGGGGAGGAGTGCAAGAAGGAGCACTCTGTGGCCACAGGGAGGATGGGTTACAGTTCAGTACAGCCAGCACTGAAGGCTGAGGGTCACAGGGAGGATGGGGTCCAGTTCAGTACAGTCAGCGCTGAAAGCTGAGGGTCAGAGTAGGCCTGGATTGGGTTTGAATTGGGGCAGAGGATGCCATGGCAGGGTCTTAAGAAAAGGAGGAAAAAAAAAAGTTAAACAGACAGAAAAAGTCAGAGATGAATGCTCTCTGGACAGGGGATTCCCTGCTTCCCCTTTCTTGGGCCGTGGCCAGTGTTGTCCGGAGTGTCCTGCCTTCCATCAGGGTGCTCTGATGAGAACAGTTGATTCCCCCGCCTGTCGGAGGAGGCCTGCCGTCCCCAGGGCTCTGCCTGGTGCTGGCCTGCTCTATGCCTGCAGCCCTGCCAAGAATGATGCCCATGCATCTTAGTGGCTGACTGCTCATATTGGTAACCATGTTTTAAAGAGGACTTTCCGAAAAAACAGTTTTCAAGGTTGGAGATTTGGTGTTCGGCTGAAAGAATTTCCATCTTCAATCATGAGATCTGAAGCTGAATGGGCTTTGGAGATGATCTGGTTGGGAACTGAGCCCCCTTGTCCCTGACAGTGGCTGTGTTTCCGCCTCGGGGAGGGCTGGCCCAGACCCCAGGGGTAAGGTGACAGCCTTCTGTGGGTGAGTAGGGATCCCTCCCTGGGGAGGGCTGTGCCCTGTGCCCCCTGCCCCCTCCATAATGCCAAAGAGGCGGCAAATCTTGCCCCTGCCTTCCCTCTCAGACCAGAGTGCTCTGCAGGGCTGGGCGGGGGACGCCTTGACCTTGGAGGGCTGTGCTGGGAAGGGAAGGCCTTGGGCCTGGGGTGTGTGCATGGGGGCCTGGGTGGTGAGGGCAGGGGTGACTGAGCGGAAGTCCCTGACTCTTTATAGCCCAGCCCGGGGCTGTTCAGTGTGAGCTGGAAGTACCCCACCCTTGCACTATGAGCAGCTTCCTTCCTGCCTGCTGGCAAGGACGGGTGGGGAGCGGGGAAAGGAGGGAAGGGAGGCGGGAGCAGCGGGAGAGGGGCGGGGAGCAGCTGCCGCCAGGCCTCCCCCTCCCGAGGATGTAACTCATGCTGAGTGCTGGGGGGCGGAGAGATTTGCTCAGCTTCCAGATTGCAGAATTGGTGCTGAGCCTTTGGTGAGGGCGTTGGGGCGGCTTCTGGGATGCTGAGGGTTCCGGGCTGTGGACGCGGTTGCCGGTCTGAAGGGGCTCCTGTGTTGATCCTGGGCGCCCCCTGGTAGCCCCAGCCCTTCTTGAGACAGCCACATGAGGGCAGCAGAGAGCCGAGGAGGAGCGATTTCAGCACAATCGTGGGATCAGACACCACGAAGGGAGGGGGAGACCCAGGGGATAGGAAAGGAGCCAACGGCATCGGGTGGTAGGTCTACACCAGCCATCTGGGGTCCCAAGGTGGCTCATTTGGGCCCACCCCCAGAGGAGCAGATTGGGACAAATCTGCGCCTCCCTGCTTCCTGCACAGACCACATGGGGTGTGTCAAACCGAAGGCTCAGGAGGTATCTTCACATACACACGTACACGCACACACATACATCCATGCATGCATGCACACTTTCTTACACATATATCCATGCATGCATGCACACACATACACATATATACATGCATGCATGCACAGTCACACACACATACATCCATGCATACTCTCTTACACACACAAATGTTTCGGGGAACGTTTGATTTCCCCACAAATTCATAAGTTGAGATCCTAGCCCCCAAGGTGATGGTGTTAGGAGGCGGGGTGTTTGGGAGGTGTTGAGATCGTGAGGGAGGAACCTTCCTGAATAGGATGCGTGCCCTTAAGAAAAAAACCCCAGAGAGATCCCTCACCTTTCCATCATGTGAGGACACAGTGAGAAGGCGCTGTCTATGAACATGGGTCCTCACCAGACCTTTCCATCATGTGAGGACACAGTGAGAAGGCACTGTCTATGAACCGTGGGTCCTCACCAGACATGGAATCTGCCAGCACCTTGATCTTAGACTGCGGCATCCAGAACTGTGAGAAATAAATTTATGTTGTCTTTAGGCCACCCGGTCCTTGGTGTTTTCTTACAGCAGCCTGAACAAACGGACACACACACATACATCCATGCATACGTGCACTCTCTCTCTCTCTCTCACACACACACACACACACACACACACACTCAGGGCAGTGGTGTTGAAGGAAGAATCTAAACCTGAAGGTTGATCAAGGCCTGGAGATTCTTGCATTTCCCTTGGGAAGGTGGAAGTTGGTCCAGACTCCCAAGAGCCCCCAGAGGCTGGCAGACCCCTGCCACTGCCAGGGTAAGGTCTTGGGTTTCCAGGTCACTGGGTCTGTCAGCCAGGAGGCAGAAGCGTCTCTGGAAGAGGTTCACCAGGCTCTGCCCCAGGGAGCCCACCTGAGGGCGGGGCAGCATCTCCCTGTGCCCCCTCCCTGCTCCCCAGCTGGGGAGCTCCCCCCCTCACAGTTTTGCAGTTGTCCATGGGTTGTGCATCCTGGGCTCCCTCACTGACCAGCCTCCTCATCTGGGCCCTGCCCCTCCAAAGCTAATTTGGGCCAAGAGCATCTGTGTGGATATGAAGGCTTTCCCATCCGTGGGAACTTGAAATTTCCTCCTTTTTTTTTTTTTTTTTTTTGAGATGGAGTCTCGCTCTGTTGCCCAGGCTGGAGTGCAGTGGCGTGATCTCAGCTCGCTGCAAGCTCCGCCTCCCGGGTTCACGTCATTCTCCTGCCTCAGCCTCCCGAGTAGCTGGGACTACAGGCTCCCGCCATCAAGCCCAGCTAATTTTTTTGTATTTGTAGTAGAGATGGGGTTTCACCGTGTTAGCCAGGATGGTCTCGATTTCCTGACCTCATGATCCGCCCGCCTCGGCCTCCCAAAGTGCTGGGATTACAGGCGTAAGCCACAGCGCCTGGCCGAAATTGTCCTTTATTCCGGGGATCCAGAGTGAGAACGAGGGGGTTTCAGGGGCAGGCTGAGGCCTCCTGAATGCTCACCATAGGTGCCCTGTCTTGGGCTCTGAAGGCCCTACATACAAAGTCATCCTATCTGCTGAGGCAAAGATATAAGGTTACCTCGGACTTGAGACGGATGGTTGTCAGGGATCCATCTGACAGGCCCTGCCCCCTTCCTGCCTCCTCCTGTCTCCCTCTCCTGCCACCCTCAGCCTGGCCCAGTTTCCTGGCATGGTTGCTGTGGCGCCTCTTGGGAATCGGAGCTTTGGGCCTCAAGTGTGCCCAGCATGGAAATTCCACAGCAACTGTCACTGGGATCGTCTGGACAGAACCCTCTCAGGTGCCCCCAGGAGGGGCTGGGCCCTCTCTCCAGACCAGGGTGGGAGGAGCAGCCTTTAGAGCCCCCTGCTGATCTGTGAGATGTGGAAATCCTGACTTCAAGCCCTGGAGAACCTTCAGTCATTGGTGACTTGTCTTTTTTCCTGCTCTCCCCAAATGGATTACATGCCCGACTCCCAGTGACCTCCCAGAGGCGTCCCTGACATATTTGCTGTTGATGATGACCTGAGGCTTCCGAGGGGCTCCCAGGAAATGGGGTTCCCAGTCTGTCGTCTGGTTTCCTAAGCACCAGCCCCGTCTGCGCTGGGCACTGCTGAGCCGGGCACTGCTGAGCCGGGCACTGCTGAGCCGGGCACTGCTGAGCCCACTTCCTAGAGGAGATGTTGTTCTGCTGCGCGGATCCAGAAGGGGGAGCTCTCAGGGCCTGTTCTTCTTCAGCCGGGAAAGATCGAATGCGCTCTTCCTGGACATTTAGCGCCCCAGCATTGCAATAGGCCTCTGCCGTCACCTTCACACCCTCACTGGCTCTGTCTGGCCCTGCACTGGACTGCTGGTCCCCCAGAGGGACAGAGATGAGGTCCTGACCACAATTCTCAGCTCAGCCAAATTCTCCCTAAGCCTTCCTCCCTTGCGAAGCCTTCCTCCCTTGTGAAGCCTTCCCTTATCCTTCTGGCCTTAAAACGATTCCTTCAGACCCTGAAGTCAAAGCATTCATGGTCTGTCCGGGCGCCGTGGCTCACACCTGTAATCCCAGCACCTTGGGAGGCCCAGGTGGGAGGATCGCGTGAGCCCAGGAGTTTGAGACCAGCTTGGGCAACATGGGGAGATCCTGTCTCTATTTTACAAAAATGAATAACATTTTTAGAAAAAGAAAAAGCATTCATGGTCTGCACCACTTCTTAGACTTGGGATCTAGGACTGTGTAACTTCTCTTGTCAGCTGCCATTATTTGTATTTGGCTCCTGTAATATTGTCTAATCATGGGTGAAAATATTGTCTTCTCAACGAATTGCAAATTTTGTAAGGCCAGGGACTGTATTGTATATCATATATTTCCTTAGGAACACTTCTCAGTGGGGGGCACATAGAAAGCTCTGGATAATTGTTTGTGGGTATATCAGGGAGAAGATGGAGTGGGAGACCTGTTTGTTTATTGTTTTTGTTTTTGTTTTTTGAGACAAGGTCTCACTCTGTTACCCAGGCTGGAGTGCAGTGGTGCTATCACGGCTCACTGCACCTGGGCATGGTGGCTCATGCCGGTAATCCCAGTACTTTAGGAGGCTGAGGAGGGTGGATCACTTGAGCCCAGGAGGTCAAAACCAGACTGGGCAACATAGTGAGACCCTGTCTCTGAAAAAAAATGCAAAAATTAGCTAGGCATGATGGCGCACACCTGTAGTCCCAGCTGCTTGGGAGGCTGAAGTGGGAGGATCACTTGAGCCCGGGAGGTCAAGGCTGCAGTGGGCCATGATTGTGTCACTGCACCCCAGCCTGGGAGACAGGGTGAGACCCCATCTCAGAAAAAGAAAAGTTAACAGGTAGCTGCAGCCTTGACTTACCTGGCTCAAGCGATCCTCTTGCTTCATCTTGCTAAATAGCTGGGACTACAGGTGTGTGCCATCACACCCAACTAATTTTTTCTTTTTGTAGAGATGAGGTCTCGCTATGTTGCCTAGGCTGGTCTTGAACACCTGGGCTCAAGCCATCCTCCCGCCTCAGCCTCCCAAAGTGCTGGGATTACAGGTGTAAGCCACCGTTCCTGACCATGCAAGACCTATTTGAACCTGAGTTCTCTTCTCAGGTCCTTGGTGTTGGCTGACTCAGCAGCTGATGATCCTTGGGATGGGCTAGGATATGAAGCTAGTGTTGGGTTAGCATTTTTATTCCAAGCTGGGGTAGGCTCTTAATTCTGCCCGATATCAGCAGAATGAACAGCAAAAGTTCTGGAGAGCTGACAGAGCAACCTCTGTATCTGGAGTTCTCTGGTCTCTCTCTCTCTCTCACACACATATCTCAAATTTCTTTAGCTCTTGTTATATGTGGTATGTAATCTCCCACCTGGCCTGGTGTGGTGGAAAAATCACTTAACTAAGAACCAGGAGACACTATTTTATGTCCAGCTCCATTTCTAACTTGTGGCACAACCTTGAGGCGGAGTCCTTGTCACTGTGAATATCTGTTTTATTGTCTAATATATGAAAGTGTTTGCTTCTGGCTCTAATATTTCATAAAGCAACAGAAACTCCCAAAGGAAATCCCAAGAGTTGCAAGTGTAAAGTTCAGGGGTTTATTCATATCTTTTCCTGATGGCTGTCAGAGGAGTGAGGGAGGAAGGCACACTCTGAAAGCACATGAGACATGGTTTTCTCAGCATTGACTGGCAAACCCAGCTCTTGCTTCACCCCGTGCTGCCTCCAGGAGCTACTGTCCAGCTCCAGAGGCATTTTCAGGATTTGGGGTGACCATCTAATGCACTGTGTCCTGAAGAGTGCCTCAGTCTTGTCACCTGGGCTGCCCTCCCTGGTTTTCTGCTGAGCCTGCCGTAAAGTATTTTCAGCACCTTGGACAGAGACAAAGCTCCAACCTGGCTGGAGGCATTGAGTAGCCAAGTGAGCTTGGGATCTCCTCCAGGGCCAGCTTTCCTGGCAAGGTTGCCCAAAGCATGTCTTGGTTCTTCATATTTTTTAATCCTTTGAAGGCACTCAAAAATAAACCCCCTAATATATGTCAAAACAGTGCACTAGTTCTGCAAACTCTCAGGGCATTTTTTAAAACAAAACCAACCTATTTTCTAGAATAGTGTTAGGTACACATTAGGTGCTTAGTAAATACATTTAAAAAGGAATACATGCAAATTCAACCTTCAGACAAATGTCCCAGCCTCCTTATAATAGGATTCTTTCTCCCCATCAGTCCCTCCTATATAGTAATTCTGGAGCTTCTAGTACTTGCTAAGTTTTGCAGCCTCACTTGAAGCCCCTTCTTGTGTCTAAAAATCCCAGTCTTTAAATCAAAGGAACAGATGACTATTAAGTTTTCAGGCAGAGGAAACTGAAACTGGCCCCTTCTCTTTCTCATCTGGGGGTAAGTATAGATTGGTGGGGAAACCCACACCTGACTCCTCTTGGGATCTTGCTTTATGAAGATGTTCACCACCTTCCTTTGTACCTGAGAAAGCCCTTACCATGCAGAAGGACCAAAATCGCCCAGGAAATTTTCCGAGCTGACCCAGCCCACTCAGAGCCCTCCTTCTTCTGAACACCCCTCCACGTATCCTCAACATCACCAGATTGTTCTTCTGACATTTCATATCCAAGTTTTTTCATGCCTATTGGTTCTTTTCCCGGTTAGATAATGAATTCCCTGTGTTTGTGGTTTCCAGTTAGATGCTACTGTGATGCAAACACAGCAGATAAAATGGGAGATTGATCAGTCTTGGGGGCTTCTATCTTGTCCTAAGGGGTCTCCTGCACCACTTATTTTTAGTCTGACATAAATATGCAGGATGGATCATGGTGCTATTTGTGGAGTAACCATTGGCTCCAAGTGCACCCAGGATGAGAGAGCAGAGGCAAGAGGTGGAGGTGAAGATGGCTATTGAGGAGAAACAGAGGAACCACTCATGGGTGGGTGTGTTGCTGTGTGGAATTAAGGAATCACTCACTGCTAGAGCTGGACGGGATCTCAGAGATCAGCTTGTTTGGTCTCCTCATTTTACAGGTAAGGAAAGTGAGATTTAGTGGTACTCCTAAAGTTACACAACAAATGGGCCCTTTTCCATCACCTCTGACCTGGTTCAAGTGTTGGGCATCTCTCCCTTGGACTATTGTATTGCTCTATGTGGCAGATGATATTTTCCCAAGGTGGTCGTGCCAATACATATGCTTTTCTTCCAGTGTGACAGCAACACCCCTCCACTGAGAGGTGGGGGTCTGTGTTTGTTCTCCTTGCATCTGATGGGTCACGATTACAGCAGAAGTTGTTTTATGTGATTTTTTAAGGCTAAGTTATTCAAGGAGATACAGCTGCTGACTGGTCTTCTCTTGGGACACTGGCCCTTGGAACACAGCCACCATGCTGTGAGGGAGCCAAGTGGCCACACAGAAGGGCGTTGTGTAGCTGTCTGGCCCCAGTCCTAGCTGAGGTCCCAGCCAACAGCCAGCACCAACCACCAAACGTAAGTAGATGAACCTTCCAGTCTCTAGTTTGGAGTAAAGCAGAGAAAAGTGGTCCTGGTGGAAACTACCCCAGTTGCAAATCCATGAGCAAAATATATCCAACTAAACCACTGGATCTTGGGATGGCTGTTATGCAGCAATAGGTAATGGAAAAACCTCATATCCACCTCATTTTCTCCAAACTATTATACACGTTTCATTCAATCAACAAACCTTTCTTGGATACCTACTCTTTGCCAGGGTCTGTACAAAGACAGAATATTTACATTCATGGATTCTGCATTCAGCTGCCACTACTGTTTCCTTACTGTTTCCTGCCACTACTGTGTCCCCCTTGCAGAGATAATAAAATTCATAGTCCTCATCCCTCTGCAAATGGTGCCAGCCTGCTGCTCCACTGCCACCACATCAAATTATTTTGTCCTCAGACCCAATCTCCATTCTCCTTTCTTTATATATCCTTATGTTGTCTCTTCTATCTGCAATGCTTCTGCCCTGCCCCACCTCCAACGTTCAAGGACCTGCACTGAAATCTCCTTCCCTGGCAAGGCCCTCCAAGACTCCTCCGGTTGAAATTAACCAACACCTCCTCGTAATCCCACAGCACTGACTGCAGACTGCAGTTTCTGTCTGCCCACCGTCTCCCTCAAAACTCACTAGACTGTGAATCCCTGGAGGAGGGATCCTGGCTTATCCCTCTTGTCCCCCAGCAGTGTCTGGCACAGGGCCCAGTACTTAGAAAGCCCCCAGTAAACACTTGTCGATGCAACTAGTAGCAGAACCAGAATTAGAAGTCAGATCTCCCGAATCCTAGTCTCCAGGGCCTTACTTGCTTCTTTTGACACCACAAAGGCAGGGAAAATGTCCCACCAAAGGTGGGGATCAGGTTGTCCAGAGAAGACCTTGGAATGGACCAGGGGTTGGCAGGATTGCTACATGTGGAGCTGCAGAGGGCGATGAGTGAAGAGTGTCCTGGCTCTTGGCTAGGGGTTTCAGGCGGGTTCCTTCCATCCTTTCTTCCTTCTTTCTTTCCTTCCTACTTCCCTTCTTTCTATCAATAAGCCCTGATCATCCACTTCTGGAGGGGAAACATGCTGTTTCTTTGATTCTTTTCTTCTCCAACTCCAGTTCACATCTGAAAAAAATCTCTATTCTGGGGACCCAGTTGCACAGAAAAACAAAAAAAACCCACCGTGTTCAAGCATCAAGGGACCTGCTCACTCTGTTCTTCCTTCCCCAGGGTTTCCCAGGAACCATTGCTCTGTAACCTGTCTCTCCTGTGCCCAGCCGACTGGAACTGCTTCCCAATCCCCTGTGGGTAACCCCAGGCTCTCCTGGGCCTGACTTTGGTGGTGTCTTGCCTGGCCCGCTCCTTGGGGGACCTCTGGCAGAGTGGGCTTCCATTTCTCTTTCTCCTTCCAGGATGTCCTGGCTCCATGCCTTCGGACTGAGCAGGAGCAGAGAGCAGGGTGGGTAGGATGCTTTCTGCAGACTTTTCTCCCTAAATTGTTTCTTTTTGGGAGCTGGGAGGAGCCTGGATATCTCACTGTAGCCTCTCTGTTCCCTCAGTCACAGGCAGGGTGCGGGAGAGCTCTTCCCAGGAATGGTCTCTGAAATGGCTCTTGGAGCTGAGATGGGGGTGGGGCAGATTCTAGAGGCTTAACAGCCCAGCTCTTGGTATTAGGGTTGGGCACTTTTCTCTTTGTCCCAGATCTGGGGGTAGCAGAGGTGGGAAGTTGAAGGCAGTGGGGGCTTCTCCATCAGCTCATCTGAGGCCCAGAAATGTTGCTTTGGGGAGAGCTTGCCCCCTCTCACCGTTTCTCTTCCTCAGCTCAATTCTTGAGTGTGGGGGCGGCTAAGTGGGTCTGCCTTCAGGCTCTACCCTGAGCCTCCAAGGAAGTCAGAAATCTACATTCAGCTTTGACTTCTGAGTATGTGGAGTGGGCTGGGGGGAGAGAGGGAGAGATCTGTCTCTCCTCAGCTTGAGGGAACAGCTCTCTTCTTGCCTCTGTGCACAGAAGGAGGGCTACCCCGTGCCTGGGCTCCTCTCTGTTTGGGAGGATGAAGGGCTCCTCTGACTCCTGTCTTCCCTTTGGGATAAGAGCAGAGGCCTGTCCCAGCAACACGGGTACAGGAGTGGAGGACAGCTGGCCAGCTCAGATGAGTGGCTCCTTCCCTTCAGGGCCTGGCTCTCCCTCTCCCTTGGTCTGGAGAGAGGGGGAGGCTACAGATGTCCCTTTCCCTTCTTGCCCTCCCATGCCCATTCTCAGCTGCTGGCCTTTGCTCACTTTCTCTCCATCCCCTGGCCTGGACAGGAGGACACTTCACTCACACATGAATCATCCTGGATTCATGGTAGGCAACCCAGCAGCCAGGGGTGGCCTTGGGGCGTGGCGGGGGCTGGGCCAGTCGTGGACTAGGTTCTACCCGGAACCCAGATGTGTTGATGCACCTGATGCCAAATGCTACACCAAGGAGGAGCTTGTGCTGTGGAAGGCCCTGGGCCCCCGGGGGGGTGAGTGAGGAAACTGCTGGCAGTGGAGAGGGCCTGAGGAATAACTGCACAGGCAAGAGCCTCTGGACTTTTTTAGCATCAGCTGTGGAGCCACCTCCTTCTCTCCCACTGGCTGCCTCCCTGAGTCACTGCCCACCCACCAGCAAATAAAAAAGAGTGTCATCTGCTGGCCAGTGGCCCCATTTGGCCCCAGTGTTTGCATCTTTGTGCTCCTGGGTGGAAGGTGAGAGTCCGGGTAGGGTGGTCTCACGACGACAGTTTTCTGCGCCTTCCTCCTTCGGGACTCCGATTCCTTCCCTGCCCTTTGTTCTTCCCCTCCCCCCATGATGGTTCTCGCTGGTGACAAGACCCAGCCCCTGCTCCAAGGACAGAGGCAGCTGCAAGCCCTCAGGAGCCCCCACATGGCCCCATCCATCTAGACAGGTCTCTGATCCGGCTGCAGGGAGGGGACCCTCGGCTGTTCAGCTGCGACTCCTCCCTCCCCGCCCGCCCACTCAGCTGTCAACACTCGCCTCCCCGCCCTGGCCTTCCCGGGGCCCTGCCTGACTGCTAAGTCCGAGGACACCGCGCCCGGAGACCCTCACTCAGACGCAAGCAGGCGATGAGCAGGCGGCGGGGCAGACACCCCGCCTGCCCTTGAGCATCCCTAGGCCTCCTTGCCTAAATAAGGGAGCCGCAGCTGGAGCGAGCCAGCTGGCCGGGGGGAGGGGCCTGCGGCTAGGCCAGGGCTTTCCGAGGGGCTGGGCCGTGGCCGCCGCCGCAGGGCCCCGAGCCCGCCGATTGGGCGTGCAAGGCTGGCCCCGGGCTGCCGGGGGAGGGCGGGCCGCTCGCACCCGGGGATCCCCTGGTTGGAACCTCGCGCTCAGGGACCTCTCTTTGATCCTGCAGCTAGGAGGCCGCAACTGCTGTCAGAATGTCCCTCTCTGTGCAGCTCCTATGCAGAGCCCCACAGAGGGCTCTCTCTCTCTCCGTGTGTGTGTGTGTATGTGTGTGTGTGTGTGTGTGTGTGTGTGTGTGTGTATGTGTGTGTGTGTGTGTGTGTGTGTGTGTGTGTGTGTGTTGGGGCAGGGGGCGTGCCCCTTCTAAGTTTAACCCTCCCTTATTTCAGAGCTCTGCTGCTCTGGGGCCTTCAGATTGTCTTGCTTTTCCTATTTCCAGGGTCTCCCTTGACTCCGGGCTCGTCTTCGAGGGTCCAGGCGTTGCCCCGGTCACCCACAGTAGGCACTGAGCGCGTGCTGTGTATACCAAGCCAGTGCTCGGCGTGGTGGGGAACCAGGGCATAAGGACCCGCCGTTTCCCTTCAAATCAGGTTTCTTAGTCGCTAATCTGGGGTGGGGGTGGAATCCCTTCCCCCATCCCGGCCGCCTACAAGCCGGCCATGGCACCTGTCCTCACGGTTTCCCCTGCCTAAGGGTCCCTTCCCCCTCTTCTGGGCGCGCGAGTCCCAGGGGCTCCTTGGCAGAGCGAGGGGCTGGCGTTGGGGGAGCACTCGGCGCGGCTCAGCCAATGGGAAGGTCGGGCGCGCGCGGTGGGGCGGGATGGGGGGGGGAGAGGGCGGTGCTGCGGGCGCGCGGCAGGCGGGAGGGGGCCGGGAGGCGGGGGCCGGAGCCGGAGGGGCGCGCGCCGCATTAACCCTTCCGCGGCCGGGCCGAGCCGCAGGCGCTGCCCGAGCCGCGGGCGCTGGAGCGGCTGTCGGCGCGGTGGCAGGCGGGAGCCAGGAGTCCGGGGCTCGGGCGGGCGGAGCGCAGCGCGGGGACGCGGCGGAGCGGGCCCCGCGGCTCGGCGGGGGCCGGCAGACAGGTGTGCCGGCGGCGGGCGGCTCGCGCTCAGGCGGCTCCAGGCCGGGCCCGGGGTCCGGAGCGGGGAGCCGGGAGCCGAGCGAGGACCCGGCGCCCGCAGTCCAGTCTTGGCCGCGCCCGTGCTCGGCTTGGCCGCGGGGTGCGGGGACCACGGCCCGGCCGGGCCACCCGAAGCCTAGTGCTGGGCCGGGCCGGGCCGGGGTGGGTGGGGGCCCGCCCGGCCCGCCCATGGGCTCAGGATGCCGGTGCGGAGGGGCCACGTCGCGCCGCAGAACACCTTCCTGGACACCATCATCCGCAAGTTTGAGGGCCAGAGTGAGTGGGGGAGGGGGCTGAGCGGGGAGGGGGCTCTGGGGGCGGGCCGAGCTCTTCCGAGTGTGGATGGGGGGGCGTGCCCGGGCCGTGTGCGTCGGCAAGTGCGAGTCAATGGGGCCTGGTGGGCCCCAGGCTTTGGCGAGGGGACGGCGGGGGCAAGGCTTGGTGCACCGGGGCCGTGGGCACCGGGCCAAAGGGTTTGGGGTTGGGGCTTGGGGCGGGAAACTCAGCTCAGGCTTTTGGGATCGGAGTGTGTGTGACACGCTGAGTGTGCAGGGAAGGGATGTGGGATGGAGTGTGCAGGTGTCCCCAACTCTGGGTGCGTGGACGTGGATGGGGCTGTGTGCAAGGGCATAAGAGTGTGTACGACCCAAACCCTGGGATCCCGAGAGTCCAGCGCGCACACTGGTCTTGCCAGATCTTGACTGTGTTGTGCCGGAGGGACTGAAAAGCCGTGGATGCAGGGTCAGCTCATAATCTCTTCTTGTGTGTGCCGTGTGTATATAACCCTGAGCCCATGTGTCACCCGTGAGTTAGACCCTGTATGGGCGGTGGGGAGGTGTCTTTGACAAGGCTGCGAGCTTGTGGGCTCTGTGGAGACAGGGTGTCCTGGGGCTAGAGCTGGGCTTTGAGGGTAAGCAGCTCCCTGTGGTACCCCCAAGTTGTGGGTTTTCTTGCCCTGGAGACTGTCACCTAATTCCCTTATGGGGACCGGGAGTACAGCACCCCTAATGCCTGCCTGGTAGGGAGGCTTCTAGAAGGGTCCCAGATTAGGCAAATGTCCTGGGGGTGGGCAGCATTCATGTGCCTGTCCCTAAGGCTGCATGAGCCACAGTGGGTGTGACTGCCAAGGGCCCTGGGAGTTGGGAGAGGATGACATTCCTTGTCCATGACCCTGTGAGCACAGGACAACGCGTGCTTGTAACGGTGGTTGGGGGAAGGAGGGGTCAGTCCGATGGTCAGTATTGTGTGAAGCGGAGGAACAAGATGATCCTGAGGGGGTGGAGACAATGACACTGGTTGAGGGCCTCCCTGAGAGGTGGGGGTGGGCCCAGGGGGAGGCTGTGGGCGGGCCTACGAGGAGGCTGGGATGGATGTGGGGGGGGGTGCTGGATTCTAGCCCTACCTTTGCCACTGACTGCCATGTGACCTTGAGTGACTCTTCCCTCTTTGGGTCTCAGGTTCCAGGTCTGTGGAGGAGGGGCAGGCTTTCTGTCCCATCCCTGTATTCCAGGATCTCAGTGAAGGGTGTGTGGTGGGGTGGGGCATGCCTTCGAAGAAACTTGCTCTTCTTTCCCCAGCCTGGGAGAGAGGACAAGGGGTGGTTTTTCTTCTATGAAGCTGGGGTGTGTGGCTGGGCCTCTGGACTGCCTTGGACTGTGGCAGAGCTGGAGGCCGAGTTAGGGGGTCTTTTCAGGTGACAGGAAACCCTGACTCCTGGAATTGATGGCTGCCTGGGAGGTCTGGGGGGCCTTGGGAACTGGCCAAAAGATGAACCAGTTCCAAAAGGCAACTTTCTGGGGGCCAGGGGAAGGGAGAATCGAGAAAGGTGGGAGGAGGCCAAGTCCTGATGGCCTGGGCCTATCTCAGGGTGCCCTGCTGCAGCCCAGCTTTGCACGTAGGATTGCCTAGGGCTGCAACCTGAGGGCTATGCTTGCTGGGGAGGGGAGGGGAAGGGAGGGGGAGAATTCCAACTGCTACTGAAAGCCCCAGCATTACAGGCCAAAGTGGCCGGAAACTTCTGTTTATAAAAAGCTCTTATCCCAGGAGCATCTTGCCTGGCACAAGTGAGGCTGCTGCCTGCCTGCTGCTCACTCGCCAGCCTGGCTCTCCGGGCAGGCCTGGAGTCAGGGAGCCAAGTCTGGCAGAAATGGAACCATGGGGGTGCTCATCCAGGATGAGGCCAAACTGAGGAAGGCCTCACATCCCTGGGCAGGTCCCCTTTCTTGGGTCTGTTTTCCTACAAGTGGGGCCAAAGTCTCAGGCCCCGCCCAGGCTCCAGGTGTGTCCAGGGTTTGGAGCTGCAGGTCCCTCTCTTTGCTTCCTATGACCTTGGGCTTCTGCCTGTGACCCTCAGCTTATTCTTCTGCCTCTGCCAGACCAAGGTTCAAAAGCTGGCTCTATCATTTACAAGCTGCAAGACTTGGGCATGGTGCCGAACTTCTCTGGAGCCTTGGTTTCTTCATCTATAAAAGGAGGATAATAACACCTACCTTATGGGGTTGTCAGAGGACCTAATGAGATGCAGCGTCCTTAGGTGTTCAACGTGTAACTTCCCTCATCCTCTCTGGCACACCCACCCCTCAGCTCCTGACTGCCCTTGGGGCGGGGGTGGTGTGCAGAAGTTCTAGGGGGTACTGACCTGGTAGGATCCTCAGATAATCGGGGAGTGATTTCCTAGGGAGCCTCAGGATAAGGAGTGGCTCAGGGAGCGCCCCCCAGTCTGGAGAGCAGGGAAATTAAAAGCAGAATCCAGAGAGCCGATGCAAAGGGAATCCTGGCCGCCATCTCTGGCCTTTCCCAGGCTCCCTTTCTAGGCCCAGTGTTTATCCCTCCGCCGCGGCTGCTGACACGCGTTGCTGACACCCGCCAGGCTGGCCTCAGCCTCGGGCATGGAGGAGGCGGCGGGCTGCTGGCGGCCTGCCCGGGGGAAGCCACGCAGCCCGCCCGCGGGCCAGGCGGAGGAGGGGGCGCGCCGCGCGGCCCGGCCGGCCAGGCACCTGTATCGGGGCACACGCACAGCTGCGTTCGCCCCCTGCTGGGACCCCAGTCCCAGCCATGCTTCCTGTGGCGGGGAGTCCCCGGGCGGCTGTGTGAGTGGAGAATGTGGGGAAGGGCTGGGAGTCCCGGAGGCTGGGGTCCCCGCTCACGCGCACTCTCCTCCCCGCCCCCCTAGGCCGTAAGTTCATCATCGCCAACGCTCGGGTGGAGAACTGCGCCGTCATCTACTGCAACGACGGCTTCTGCGAGCTGTGCGGCTACTCGCGGGCCGAGGTGATGCAGCGACCCTGCACCTGCGACTTCCTGCACGGGCCGCGCACGCAGCGCCGCGCTGCCGCGCAGATCGCGCAGGCACTGCTGGGCGCCGAGGAGCGCAAAGTGGAAATCGCCTTCTACCGGAAAGATGGTAGGAGCGGGCCGGGGCGGGGCCACGACCAGGGGCGGGGTCAAGAGGGGCGGGACCACGGCGAGGGGCAGGGTGCGTGGGGGTGTGGGGGTGTGGGGGCGGCTGGAGAACGCCCCGAGCCCGGGCAGGGTTCTGTGGGGGTGTGACGCGGGCGGGGGCCCTGCGGTGTGCCTGTGGGAGGCGCGGTTCCGGGGCCTGCGCCTCACTCTGCTGAGATGGTTTTCAGGAGGGCAAAGGAGTTGCTAGGCTGTGGGTCTGGCTCCTCTGGTCCTTTTTTTCCCTGGGCAGGTGTGGGCACGTAGAGCAAGTTGGACTAGAGTTAGACCGAGCTGGGATGGCAGGTACGTGCGTGGATGGAGGTTAAAGGTCAGATTGGCAGTTGTGCGCTGACATCCGGGCACAGGCCCCTATCTACCTTAGGGCAGTTGCTGCCAGGTGACAGGTCTGGGAGATGTCATGGAGGGACAGGAGGGCTGCAGGACTCTGGCTGTCTCTGCTGCCCCCCTCCTGCCCTGCGCTTCAGCAGCACCTGGGGGAGGTGCGTGCCTCTCCCCGCAACCTCAGTTCCCTTTGTCTCAGCTGTCGAGCGCCCCGCCCTGCCACCCTCTCCTGCGCCAGGTGTCTTTACTCAGCCACCGCCTCCCAGCACAGCTGCTCTGGGCTTCCGGAGAGCGGATAAACAGAGCCCGGGGTGGGGCTGCTCCCACACCGTGAATGCCCTGTTGGGGTGGGCTCTGGTCAGGGCGGGCAGAGCAGGAGGACTGGGGTCCTGTGGGCAGAATCCGGCTGCAGAGGCGGCTCTGGAACGCGTGCAAACCTTGCTGCTTCCTAGCGTGTGTCCCATAAGCATTGACTCAACCCTTGTGAGCCTGGCAGGCACTAGGCTCTTGGAGATGGGCAGGACAGATGAGGCTCCTGCCCTCAGGGAGCTTGTCTGCTGTAGACAGTGAGCACGCTCTGCTTTCTGTTTGGGACCAGGCCAGCCAGCCCCATGTGCCAGCCCTGTGTGCTCAGGGTTGGCTGGGGTGGCCCTGCAAAGCTTTGCATCCTCCAGGCTGTGCTTTTGCAGGCGTGCACAGTCTGTGGCATCACTGGACGGCACTAGAGGGGGCATGGTCCCTGCACCCTGTGGAAGAAGGTTCGCTCACAGCAAATCAGGGTTCTAACTGGCAGGAGGCA